>NC_000001.11:49553835-49705350 GCF_000001405.40 Homo sapiens
AATTTTCTTCTCACACATTTTGGCTGAGCATGGTGGGTCATGCCCATAATCCCAGCACTTTAGGAGGTTGAGATGGGAGGATCCCTTGAAGCAGGAGTTCTAGAGCAGACTGAGCAACATAGTGGGATCCCATCTCTTCAGAAAATTTTAAAACCTTAGCTGGCGTTAGTGGTGCAATTCCATCTACTCAGGAAACCTGAGGGGAGAGCATTGTTTGAGGCCAGGAGTTCCAGGCAGCAGTGAGGTATGATTACACCACTGCACTTGAGTCTGGGTGACAAAGCAAGATCCTGTCTAGAAACACACACACACACACAGTCTCAGAGCTAAGACATATAGAACCAGGATTTAAATCCAGAAGGTCCAAACTACAAAGTCCATGGTCTTTCTAATTCATCACAATACTCCAACAGTGCTATGCAGAGAAGTTCCGATAAATAAGATTTCTTCCATGCCAAAGACAGATTTATCTCTCCAGGACAAGCAATCATCAGCCAAGAGTCTGAGTTTCTCAGGAAGAGCCTTGAAAATGCAAACACATTTTTTTTTATACTGAGCACAGATAAAAGGTTTTAAAATTTCAGCTTCTGTCTCAGAGACATAATAATAAAACAATTGAAACCATTTTTTTAGCTTACTAAACAAATTTTCACTTTCCATTTGCAAATAGATCAAGGCTCATTAGTGATGTTTTTCAAGACACTCCAGATACCAAGTGTTTTTAATAACAATGTATTTTTAAGAAAACATGCTTGAGAGGAGGCAGAGAAAGAGCAAAGTAGAAGGCTCCATCAATTGTCCCGCCCACAAATGTGTCCAGAATTGGTGGTTTCTTGGTCTCGCTGACTTCAAGAATGAAGACGCGGACCCTCGCGGTGAGTGTTACAGTTCTTAAAGATGGTGTGTCTGGAGTTTGTTCCTTCTGATGTTCAGATGTGTCCAGAGTTTCATCCTTCTGGTGGGTTCATGATCTCACTGACTTCAGGAGTGAAGCTGCAGACCTTCGGGTGAGTGTTACAGCTCTTAAAGGCGGCGCGTCTGGAGTTGTTCGTTCCTTCTGGTGGGTTCGTGGTCTCGCTGGCCTCAGGAGTGAAGCTGCAGACCTTCACGGTGAGTGTTAAAGCTCTTAAAGGCAGCACGGACCCAAAGAGTGAGCAGCAGAAAGATTTACTGTGAAGAGCAAAAGAACAAAGCTTCCACAGGAAGAAGGGGAACCGAGTGGGTTGCCACTGCTGGCTCTCTGGCAGCCTGCTTTTATTCCCTTATCTGACCCCACTCACATCCCGCTGATTGGTCCATTTTACAGAGAGCTGATTGGCCCATTTTACAAAGAACTGATTGGTCCGTTTTGACAGGGTGCTGATTGGTGCATTTACAAACCTTGAGCTAGACACAGAGTGCTGATTGGTGCATTGACAATCCTTTAGCTAGACACAAAAGTTCTCCAAGTCCCCACTAGATTAGCTAGACACAGAGCACTGATTGGTGCATTTACAAACCTTGAGCTAGACACAGAGTGCTGATTGGTGCATTTACAATCCTTTAGCTAGACACAAAAGTTCTCCAAGTCCCCACTAGATTAGCTAGACACAGAGCACTGATTGGTGTGTTTACAAACCTTGAGCTAGACATACAGTGCTGATGGGTGCTTTTGTGTCTAGCTTTTGTGTCTAGCTAAAGGCTTGTAAATGCACCAATCAGCACTCTGTGTGTAGCTCAAGGTTTGTAAATGCACCAATCAGTGCTCTGTGTCTAGCTAATCTAGTGGGGACTTGGAGAATTTTTGCAATCTACTCATCTGACAAAGGGCTAATCTCCAGAATCTACAAAGAACTCAAACAAATTTACAAGAAAAAAAAAAACCCATCAAAAAGTGGGCCAAGGATATGAACAGACACTTCTCAAAAGAAGACATTTATGCAGCCAACAGACACATGAAAAAATGCTCATCATCACTGGCCATCACAGAAATGCAAATCAAAACCACAATGAGATATCATCTCACACCAGTTAGAATGGACATCATTAAAAAGTCAGGAAACAACAGGTGCTGGAGAGGATGTGGAGAAATAGGAACACTTTGACACTGTTGGTGGGACTGTAAACTAGTTCAACCATTGTGGAAGACAGTGTAGCGATTCCTCAGGGATCTAGAACTAGAAATACCATTTGACTCAACTATCCCATTACTGGGTATATACCCAAAGGATTATAAATCATGCTGCTATAAAGACACATGCACACGTATGTTTATTGCGGCACTACTCACAATAACAAAGACTTGGAACCAACCCAAATGTCCAACAATTATAGACTGGATTAAGAAAATGTGGCACATATACACCATGGAATACTATGCAGCCATAAAAAATGATGAGTTCATGTCCTTTGTAGGGACATGGATGAAGCTGGAAACCATCATTCTCAGCAAACTATCACAAGGACAAAAAACCAAACACCGCATGTTCTCACTCATAGGTGGGAATTGAATAAGGAACACTTGGACACAGGAAGGGGAACATCACATACTGGCGCCTGTCGTGAGGTGGGGGAAGGGGGCAGGAATAGTATTAGGAGATATACCTAATGTAAATGACACCAACATGGCACATGTATACATATGTAACAAACCTGCACATTGTGCACATGTACCCTAGAACTTAAAGTATAATAAAAAAAATTATATATATATATATATATAAACAAATCTTTAGCTAGACACAAAGTGCCGATTGGTGCATTTACAAACCTTTATCTAGACATAAAAGTTCTCTAAGTCACCACCCGACTCAGGAGCCCAGCTGGCTTCGCCTAGTGGATCCCGCGCAGGGGCCGCAGGCGGAGCTGCCTGCTAGTCCAGTGCTAGGTGCCGGCACTCTTCAGCCCTTGGGCCGTCCATGGGACCTGGGGCCTCGGAGCAGGGGGCGAGGTCCGTCGGGAAGGCTCGTGCGGTGCAAGGGGTGGGCATGAGGGCTTGGGCATGGCAGGCTGCAGGTCCTGAGCCCTGCCCTGCAGGGAGATGGCTGAGGCCTGACGAGAATTCAAGCGCGGCGCGGGTGGGCCTGCAGTGCTGGGGGACCCGGCGCACCCTCCGCAGATGCTGGCCCAGGTGCTAAGCCCCTCACTGCCTGGGGCCGGCGGTGCCTGCCGGCTGCTAGCTGCTCAGAGTGCGGGGCTGCCCAGCCCTCGCTCACTCGGAACTCGCACTGGCCCGTGATTGCTGCGTGCAGCCCTGGTTCCCACCCGAGCCTCTCCCTCCACACCTCCCCACAAGCAGAGGGAGCTGGCTGCAGCCTTGGCCAGCCCAGAGAAGGTCTCCCACAGTGCAGAGGCGGGCTGAAGTGTTCCTCAAGTGCTGCCAGAGCGGACGCTGAGGCCTGAGGAGGTGCTGAGAGCGAGCGAGGGCTGCTAGCATGTTGTCACCTCTCACAAGGACACCAATTTAACAACTATCTACAAAAAAAGACACATTCATAAGAACCAAAAATCAGGTGAGCCCTCATAGTACCTGGTTTTAATTTCATATTGTTGAAAGAGGCATTGAAGAAATAGAAAAAATAGTCTTGACTCACTGACACCACCACACCCCCACAACCTGGCAGCAGCAGCATAATTCAGAGTGTCTCTGGGCGCTGGGGAAGGAAGAACACAGCAATGATGAGACATTGAACTCAGGGCTGTCCTCTTAGAGCAGAAAGGAAAACTGGACCAAACTCAGCTGATATCTGCCCATGGAGGGAGAACTTCACCCAGCCCTAACCAGAGGGGAATCACTGTTTCCAGTGGTCTCAACTTGAGTTCCTGCAAACCCTACCACCAAGGGCTAAAGTGGTCTGGGTCTCTAAGTAAACATAAAAGGCAGCCTAGGCCATAAGGCCTTCAACTTGTAAGTGAGTCCTATTGCTGAACTAGGCCCAGAGACAGTGAACTGGGGAAGCACCTGACATAGTGAGACATCAGCTGGGGTGGGAAAGGGAGAGCTGCTATCACCCCTCCCCTAACCCAAGGCTGCCGAGATTGCAGCTCCAAAAGAGACCCCTTCCTTCTGCTTGAGAAGAAAACATGGAAGAGTGGGGAGGATTTGTCTTGCATCTTAAATACCAGCTCTACCATAGCATAATAGGGCACCAGTTAAGAGTAGTGAGGCCTTATTCCAGGCACTAGCTCCAGGACATTTCCAGACAGACCCTGGGCCCAAAGAGAACCTTCTACCTTAAAGGGAAAAACCCAGTCCTAGCATTTGTTACCTGCTAACTGAAGAGCCCTTGGACCCTGAATAATCAGCAGTGATACTCACATACTACCTCAAGGGCTGTGCGTGAGCCTTAGGCTTGTTGGCTTCAGGTGAGACCCAGCACATTACCACCTGTGGTAGCTGTGGGGAAAAACTCCTTCTTGAGAAAAGTAGAGAAAAAAATAAAGGGGACTTTGCCTTGAACCTTAGGTACCAGAATGGCCACAGTGTGTCAGAGAACCAAGCTGGATTTTGGGATCCCTGATTCTGTGTTTTGTTTGTTTTATATTTTGAGATGGAGTCTCACTCTGTTGCCACACTGGAGTGCAGTGGTGCGATCTCAGCTCACTGCAACTTCTGCCTGCTGGGTTCAAGCGATTCTCCTGTGAGCCTCCCAAGTAGCTGAGACTACAAGCATGCGCCACCACACCCAGCTAATTTCTGTATTTTTAGTAGAGATGGGGTTTCACCATGTTGGCCAGGATGGTCTTGATCTCCTCACCTCAGGATCTGCCTGCTTTGGCCTCCCAAAGTGCTGGGCTTACTGGTGTGAGCCACCACGCCTAGCTGGGATCCTTGATTCTAAGATTTGACACTTGTACAGCACCTCTGGACCTGCCATGGGCCAGCAGAGAGCCCAGTACCCTAGAGGGTGAGTTGCAGGCCAAGCAGCATTCACCACAAACTGACTTAAGAGCTCTTGAGCCTTAAAGGAACATCAACAGTATTCTGGCAGTACTCTCCATAGTCTGTGGTGGCAGTGGCTACTGGGTGAGGCTCATCCTTTGGAAAAAGGAGAAAAAAGTGGAAGTGCTGTGTCCTGTGACTTGAGTGCCAGTTCAGCTACAGTATAATAGAAAACCAGGTAGACTTTTAAGGTATTTGACTCTAGTCCCTGACTCCTGGGTGGTACCTCTGGACCCTCCTGGGGCCTGGGGGAACTCGCCATCCTGAAGGGAAGAACCATGGCCTGGCTGGCTTTGCCACATGCCACGTATAGAGCCCCAGAGCCTTTATGAACATCGGAAGTACCTAAGGTCTTGGGTGAGATCCAGTGCTGTGATGGCTTCAGGTCTAACACAGCACAGTCCTAGTTGTGGTAACCATGCAGGTTTTTGTGTCATGCCACCTCTAATTCCAGGAGGCTCAGAACAGAAAGAGATACGGTTTCTTTTGAGGAATGTAAGGGAAAATAATAGGAATCTCTCCCTAGTAATCCAGAGAATTCTAATGGATCTTGTACAAGACTATCAAGGCAGTACCCTCTATGAGTCTGCAAGAACCACAGCGTTACTAGGCTTGGGATGTCATCTAAAGCAGATACAGCTTAAATTATGTGATGGTTAATATTAAGTGTCAACTTGATTGAAGGATGCAAAGTATTGTTTCTGGGTGTGTTTCTGAGGGTCTTCCCAGAGAAGATTAACATTTCAGTCAGTGGACTGAAAGAGGCAGATCCACCCTCCATTTTGGTGGAAACCATCCAATTGGCTGCCAGCACAGCTAGAAAAAGCAGGTGGAAGAAAGTGGAAAAAACTGACTTGCTGAGTCTTCTGACTTTGATCCTTCTACTGTTCTGGATGCTTCCTGCCCTTGAACATCAGCCTGCAGGTTCTTCAGCTTTTGGAGTCTTGAACTTACACCAGTGGTTTGCCAGGGGCTCTTAAGCCTTCAGCGACACATTGAAGGCTACACTGTTGGCTTCCCTGTTTTTGAGGTTTTGGGACTTGGACTGAGCCTCTACTGACTTCCTTGCTCCTCAGCTTGCAGACAGCCTATTGGGAAATTGTACTTTGTGATAGTGTGAGTCAATTATCACTAATAAACTCCCTTTCATATATACATGTATCCTATTACTTCTGTCTCTCTGGAGATCCCTAATACACATCACGACACCCAAGTTCTTTCAAATATCTGGAAAGCCTTCCCAAGAAGGACAAATATAAACAACCCTAAACAGTGAAGCCTGCAATGAATATCTACCTCTTCAATGGCCAGACACTCAAGAACATCTACCAGCATCAGCACCATTGAGAAAAACATGACCTCACCAAATGAACTCAATAAAGCACCAGGGACCAATACTGGAGGAACAATATGTTACCTTTCAGAGAATTCAAAATAGATGTGTTGAGGAAACTCAAAGAAATCCAAGATAACACGGAGAAAAAAATCAGAATTTCATCAGATAAACTAAATAAAGAGACAGAGATAATTTGAAAAGAATCAAGCAGAAATTCTGGATATGAAAAACTCAATTCATGTACTGAAGAATGCAGAAGTCTTTCAATAGAAGAATTGATAAAGCAAAAGAAAAAATTAGTGAGCCTGAAGACAGGCTATTTAAAATACACAGAGTATTAAAAAAAGACAAAAAACAATGAAGCACACCTAAAGATTCTAGAAAGTAGCCACAAAAGGGTAAATCTAAAAGTTATTGGCCTCAAAGACAAGACTGAGAAAGAGATATGGGTAGAAAGTTTATTCAAAGAGATAATAAGAACTTCCCAAACGCAGAGAAAGATATCAACGTCCAAGTACAGGAAGATTATGCAACACCAAACGGACTTAACCCAAATAATCAAACTATTTAATAAACTCACAAAGTTCAAGGATAAATAAAGATTCCTAAAAGCAGTAAGAAACAAGAAACAAATAACATAAAATGGAGCTCCAGTATGTCTGACAGCAGACTTTTCAATGGAAACCTTACAAACTAGGAGAGACTCGAATGATTTACCTAAAGTCCTAAAGGAAAAAATCTTTTACCCCTGAATAGTATATCTGGTGAAAATGTCCTTTAAACATGAAGAGGGAATAAAGATTTTCCCAGAAAAACAAAAGCTGAGGGATTTCATCAACACCAGACCCGTCCTAAAGGAATGCTAAAGGGACTTCGATCAGGAAGAAAAAGATGCCAGTGAGAAATAACTAATCACCTGAAGGTACAAACTCACTGCTAATAGTAAGGACATGGAAAACACAAAATTCTATAACAACATAACTATGGTGTGTAAACTACTCTCACTCATAGCACAAAGATTGAATGATGAACCAATTAAAAATAATAACTACAAAAACTTTTCAAGACTTAGTAAATATGATATAAATAGAAACAATAAAAAGTTAAGAAGTGGGTAAACCAATTTAGGGTGTAGAGCTTTTTTAAGTTTTCTTTTTAAAAAAAATTGTATATTTTTTGCTTTTTATTTTTATTTTTTATTATTATTATTATACTTTAACCTTTATTATACATGTACCCTAAAGTTTTAGGGTACATGTGCACAACATGCAGGTTACATATGTACACATGTGCCATGTTGGTGTGCTGCACCCATTGACTCGTCATTTAGCATTAGGTGTATCTCCTAATGCTATCCGTCCCCCCTCCCCCCAACCCACAACAGTCCCCACTGTGTGATGTTCCCCTTCCTGTGTCCATGTGTTCTCATGGTTCAATTCCCACCTATGAGTGAGAACATGTGGTTTTTGGTTTTTTGTCCTTGTGATAGTTTGCTGAGAATGATGGTTTCCAGCTTCCTCCATGTCCCTACAAAGGACATGAACTCATCATTTTTTATGGCTGCATAGTATTCCATGGTGTATATGTGCCACATTTTCTTAATCCAGTCTATCATTGTTGGATATTTGGGTTGGTTCCAAGTCTTTGCTATTGTGAATAGCGCCACAATAAACATACGTGTGCATGTGTCTTTATAGCAGCATGATTTATAATCCTTTGGATATATACCCAGTAATGGGATGGCTGGGTCAAATGGTATTTCTAGTTCTAGATCCCTGAGGAATTGCCACACTGACTTCCACAATGGTTGAACTAGTTTACAGTCCCACCAACAGTGTAAAAGTGTTCCTATTTCTCCACATCCTCTCCAGCACCTGTTGTTTCCTGACTTTTTAATGACTGCCATTCTAACTGGTGTGAGATGGTATCTCATTGTGGTTTTGATTTGCATTTCTCTGATGGCCAGTGATGATGAGCATTTTTTCAGGTGTTTTTTGGCTGCATAAATGTCTTCTTTTGAGAAGTGTGGGTTCATATCCTTCGCCGACTTTTTAATGTGGTTGTTTGTTTTTTTCTTGTAAATGTGTTTGAGTTCATTGTAGATTCTGGATATTAGCCCTCTGTCAGATAAGTAGGTTGCAAAAATCTTCTCCCATTCTGTAGGTTGCCTGTTCACTCTGATGGTGGTTTCTTTTGCTGTGCAGAAGCTCTTTAGTTTAATTAGATCCCATTTGTCAATTTTGGCTTTTGTTGCCATTGCTTTTGGTGTTTTATACATGAAGTCCTTGCCCATGCCTATGTCCTGAATGGTATTGCCTAGGTTTTCTTCTAGGGTTTTTATGGTTTGAGGTCTAACATGTAAGTCTTTAATCCATCTTGAATTAATTTTTGTATAAGGTGTAAGGAAGGGATCCAGTTTCAGCTTTCTGCTTATGGCTAGCCAGTTTTCCCAGCACCATTTATTAAATAGGGAATCCTTTCCCCCTTGCTTGTTTTTGTCAGGTTTGTCAAAGATCAGATATTTGTAGATATATGGCATTATTTCTGAGGGCTCTGTTCTGTTCCATTGGTCTATATCTCTGTTTTGGTACCAGTACCATGCTGTTTTGGTTACTGTGGCCTTGTAGTATAGTTTGAAGTCAGGTAGCGTGATGCCTCCAGCTTTGTTCTTTTGGCTTAGGATTGACTTGGCAATGTGGGCTCTTTGTTGATTCCATATGGACTTTAAAGTAGTTATTTCCAATTCTGTGAAGAAAGTCATTGGCAGCTTGATGGGGATGGCATTGAATCTATAAATTACCTTGGGCAGTATGGCCATTTTCATGATATTGATTCTTCCTACTCATGAGCATGGAATGTTCTTCCATTTGTTTGTATCCTCTTTTATTTCATTGAGCAGTGGTTCGTAGTTATCCTTGAAGAGGTCCTTCACATCCCTTGTAAGTTGGATTCCTAGGTATTTTATTCTCTTTGAAGCAATTGTGAATGGGAGTTCACTCATGATTTGGCTCTCTGTTTGTCTGTTATTGGTGTATAAGAATGCTTGTGATTTTTGCACATTGATTTTGTATCCTGAGACTTTGCTGAAGTTGCTTATCAGCTTAAGGAGATTTTGGGCTGAGACAATGGGGTTTCTAGATATACAATCATGTCATCTGCAAAGAGGGACAATTTGACTTCCTCTTTTCCTAATTGAATGCTCTTTATTTCCTTCTCCTGCCTGATTGTCCTGGCCAGAACTTCCAACACTATGTTGAATAGGAGTGGTGAGAGACGGCATCCCTGTCTTGTGCCAGTTTTCAAAGGGAATGCTTCCAGTTTTTGTCTGTTCAGTATGATATTGGCTGTGGGTTTGTCACAGATAGCTCTTATTATTTTGAGATACGTCCCATCAGTACCTAATTTATTGAGAGTTTTTAGCATGAAGCGTTGTTGAAGTTTGTCAAAGGCCTTTTCTGCATCTATTGAGATAATCATGTGGGTTTTGTCTTTGGTTCTGTTTATATGCTGGATTACATTTATTGATTTTCATATGTTGAACCAGCCTTGCATCCCAGGGATGAAGCCCACTTGATCATGGTGGATAAGCTTTTTGATGTGTTGCTGGATTTGGTTTGCCAGTATTTTATTGAGGATTTTTGCATCAATGTTCATTAAGGATATTGGTCTAAAATTCTCTTTTTTTGTTGTGTCTTTGCCCGGCTTTGGTATCAGGATGATGCTGGCCTCATAAAATGAGTTAGGGAGGATTCCCTCTTTTTCTATTGATTGGAATAGTTTCAGAAGGAATGGTACCAGCTCCTCCTTGTACCTCTGGTAGAATTTGGCTGTGAATCCATCTGGTCCTGGACTTTTTCTGGTTAGTAAGCTATTAATTATTGCCTCAATTTCAGAGCCTGTTATTGGTCTATTAAGGGATTCAACTTCTTCCTGGTTTAGTCTTGGGAGGGTGTATGTGTCGAGGAATTTATCCATTTCTTCTAGATTTTCTAGTTTATGTGCGTAGAGGTGTTTATAGTATTCCCTGATGGTAGTTTGTATCTCTGTGGGATCGGTGGTGATGTCCCCTTTGTCATTTTTTATTGCGTCTATTTGATTATTCTCTCTTTTCTTTATTAGTCTTGCTAGCAGTCTATCAATTTTGTTGATCTTTTCAAAAAACCAGCTGCTGGATTCACGGATTTTTTGAAGGGCTTTTTGTGTCTCTATTTCCTTCAGTTCTGCTCTGATTTTAGTTATTTCTTGCCTTCTGCTAGCTTTTGAATGTGTTTGCTATTGCTTCTCTAGTTCTTTTAATTGTGATGTTAGGGTGCCAATTTTAGATCTTTCCTGCTTTCTCTTGTAGGCATTTAGTGCTATAAATTTCCCTCTACACACTGCTTTGAATGTGTCCCAGACATTCTGGTATGTTGTGTCTTTCTTCTCGTTGGTTTCAAAGAACATCTTTATTTCTGCCTTCATTTTGTTATGTACCCAGTAGTCATTCAGGAGCAGGTTGTTCAGTTTCCATGTAGTTGAGTGGTTTTGAGTGAGTTTCTTAATCCTGAGTTCTAGTTTGATTGCACTGTGGTCTGAGAGACAGTTTGTTATAATTTCTATTCTTTTACATTTGCTGTGGAGTGCTTTACTTCCAACTATGTGGTCAATTTTGGAATAGGTGTGATGTGGTGCTGAAAAGAATGTATATTCTGTTGATTTGGGGTGGAGAGTTCTGTAGATGTCTATTAGGTCCGCTTGGTGCAGAGCTGAGTTCAATTCCTGGATATCCTTCTTAACTTTCTGTCTTGTTGATCTGTCTAATGTTGACAGTGGGGTGTTAAAGTCTCCCATTATTATTGTGTGGGAGTCTAAGTCTCTTTGTAGGTCTCTAAGGACTTGCTTTATGAATCTGGGTGCTCCTGTATTGGGTGCATATATATTTAGGATAGCTAGTTCTTCTTGTTGAATTGATCCCTTTACCATTATGTAATGTCTTCTTTGTCTCTTTTGATCTTTGTTGGTTTAAAGTCTGTTTTTTCTGAGACAGGATTGCAACCCCTGCCTTTTTTTGTTTTCCATTTGCTTGGTAGATCTTCCTCCATCCCTTTATTTTGAGCCTATGTGTGTCTCTGCACATGAGATGGGTTTCTTGAATACAGCACACTGATAGGTCTTGACTCTATCCAAATTGCCAGTCTGTGCCTTTTAATTGAAGCATTTAGCCCATTTACATTTAAGGTAAGAATTGTTATGTGTGAATTTGATCCTGTCATTATGATGTTAGCTGCTTATTTTGCTCGTTAGTTGATGTTGTTTCTTCCTAGCCTTGATGGTCTTTACAATTTGGCATGTTTTTGCAGTGGCTGGTACTGGTTGTTCCCTTCCATGTTTAGTGCTTCCTTCAGGACCTCTTTTAGGGCAGGCCTGGTGGTGACAAAATCTCTCAGCATTTGCTTGTCTGTAAAGGATTTTATTTCTCCTTCATGTATGAAGCTTAGTTTGGCTGGATATGAAATTCTGGGTTGAAAATTCTTTTCTTTAAGAGTGTTGAATATTGGCCCCCACTCTCTTCTGGCTTGTAGAGTTTCTGCCGAGAGATCCGCTGTTAGTCTGATGGGCTTCCCTTTGTGGGTAACCCAACCTTTCTCTCTGGCTGCCCTTAACATTTTTTCCATTTCATCTTTGGTGAATCTGACAAGTATGTGTCTCGGAGTTGCTCTTCTTGAGGAGTATCTTTGTGGTGTTCTCTGTATTTCCTGAATTTGAATGTTAGCCTGCCTTGCTACATTGGGGAAGTTCTCCTGGATAATATCCTGCAGAGTGTTTTCCAACTTGGTTCCATTCTCCCCGTCACTTTCAGGTACACCAATTAGATGTAGATTTGGTCTTTTCACATAGTCCCATATTTCTTGGAGGCTTTGTTCATTTCTTTTTGTTCTTTTCTCTCTAAACTTCTCTTCATGCTTCATTTCATTCATTTCGTCTTCCATCGCTGATACCCTTTCTTCCCGTTGATCGCATCAGTTACTGAGGCTTATGCATTCATCACGTAGTTCTTGTGCCATGGTTTTCAGCTCCATCAGGTCCTTTAAGGACTTCTCTGCATTGGTTATTCTAGTTATCCATTCGTCTAATTTTTTTTCAAGTTTTTAGCTTCTTTGCCATTGGTTCGAATTTCCTCCTTTAGCTCAGAGTAGTTTGATCTTCTGAAGCCTTCTTCTCTCAATTCATCAAAGTTACACTCCGTCCAGCTTTGTTCCGTTGCTGGTGAGGAGCTGTGTTCCTTTGGAGGAGGAGAGGCGCTCTGATTTTTAGTTTCCAATTTTTCTGCTCTGTTTTTTCCCCATCTTTGTGGTTTTATCTACCTTTGGTCTTTGATGATGGTAATGTACAGATGGGTTTTTGGTGTGGATGTCCTTTCTGTTTGCTAGTTTTCCTTCTAACAGTCAGGAACCTCAGCTGCAGGTCTGTTGGAGTTTACTGGAGGTCCACTCCAGACCCTGTTTGCCTGGGTATCAGCAGCAGTGGCTGCAGAACAGCGGATATTGGTGAACCGCAAATGCTGCTGCCTGATCGTTCCTCTGGAAGTTTTGTCTCAGAGGGGTACCTGGCTTTGTGAGGTGTCAGTCCGCCCCTACTGGGAGGTGCCTCCCAGTTAGGCTACTCGGGGGTTAGGGACCCCTTGAGGAGGCAGTCTGCCCATTCTCAGATCTCAAGCTGCGTGCTGGGAGAACCACTACTCTCTTCAAAGCTGTCAGACAGGGACATTTTAGTCTGCAGAGGTTATTGCTGTCTTTTGTTTGTCTGTGCCCTGCCCCCAGAGGTGGAGCCTACAGAGGCAGGCAGGCCTCCTTGAGCTGTGGTGGGCTCCACCCAGTTTGAGCTTCCCTCTCGGCTGCTTTGTTTACCTACTCAAGCCTGGACAATGGCAGGCGCCCCTCCCCCAGCCTCACTGCCACCTTGCAGTTTGATCTCAGACTGCCGTGCTAGCAATGAGCGAGGCTCCGTGGGCATAGGACCCTCCAAGCCAGATGCAGGATATAATCTCCTAGTGTGCCGTTTGTTAAGACCATTGGAAAAGTGCAGTATTAGGGTGGGAGTGACCCGATTTTCCAGGTGCCGTCTGTCACCCCTTTCTTTGACTAGGAAAGGGAATTCCCTGACCCCTTGCACTTTCCGGGTGAGGTGATGCCTCGCCCTGCTTTGGCTCACGCACGGTGCACTGCACCCACTGTCCTGCACCCACTTTCCGGCACTCCCCAGTGAGATGAACCTGGTACCTCAGTTGGAAATGCAGAAATCACCCGTCTTCTGCATCACTCATGCTGGGTGCTGTAGACTGGAGCTGTTCCTATTCGGCCATCTTGGCTCCACCCTATTTTTTGCTTTTTATATGAACAGTGATAATTAAGGGTATCAAAATACTGTTAAATTTTACTTACATATAATAAAAGTATAGTAATTTTTAAAAATATTATTATGATTTTAAAATTAAAAGTTATTTTATTTTGTTATTTTTCAGTTCCTGGGTACATGTGCAGGTTTGTTACATAGGGAAACATGTGCCATGGTAGTTTTCTGCACCTATCAACCCATTCCTTAGATATTAAGCCCAGCATGCATTAGCTATTTTTCCTAATGCTCTCCCTCCCTCATTCTATGAGGCCAGCATCATGCTGATACCCAAACTTGGAAAAGACACAGCAAAAGAAGAAAACTTCAGGCAAGGTTTGGTTCAACATATGCAAATAAACAAATGCAACTCATCACATAAACAGAATTAAGGACAAAAACTACATGATCATTTCAATAGATTCAGAAAAGGCTTTTGATGAAATTCAACACCATCCATGTTTAAAAGTTTCAATAAACTAGGTATTGAAGGAACATACCTCAAAATAATAAGAGCCATATATAAAAAACCCACAGCCAACATTATACTCAATTGGCAAAAGCTGGACGAATTCCATTGAAAACCAGCACAAAACAAAGATGCTCTCTCTCATCCCTCCTGTTAGTATTGGAATACCTCTCATTCCCCCTAGATAGTATTGGAATACCTGGCCAGAGCAATCAAGTAAAAGAAAAAAAATAAAGGGCATCCAAATAGAAAGAGAGAAAGTCAAACTATCCCTGTCTCCAGATGACATAATTCTATATCTAGAAAACTGCATAGTCTTGGACCAAAAGCTCCTTAAGCTGATAATTTCAGTGAAGTCTCAGGATACAAAATTAATGTAAAAAATGACAAGCATTCTTATACACCAATAACTGTCATGCTGAGAGCCAAATCAGGAACGCAATACTATTCACAATTTACACAAAAAGAATAAAATACCTGGGAATACAACTAGGCAGGGAGATGAAAGATCTCCCCAATGAGAACTACAAAACACTGCTCAAAGAAATAAGTGATCACACACACACACACACACACACACACACACACACAAATGCCATGCTCATGGAAAGGAAGAATCAATATTGTTAAAATGGCAATACTGACCAAAGTTATTTATAAATTCAATGCTATCCCTATCAAACTACCAATGATGTTCTTCATAGAACTAAAAAAAAACAAAAAGTATTTTAAAATTCATATGGCACCAAAAAAGAGTCCAATAGCCAAGGCAATTCTAAGTAAAAACAGCAAAGCTGGAGGCATCATGCTACCTGACCTCAAACTATACTGCAGGGCTACTGTAACCAAAACAGCATGGTACTGGTACAAAAACACAGAGACCAATGGAACAGCACAGATAACTCAGAAATAAGGCCACACACCTACAACCATCTGATCTTCCACAATGCTGACACAAACAAGAAAATTTAGCATATCAGAGAGATATTTGCACTCCCGCGTTTGTTACAACACTGTTTATGATAGCTAAAATTTGGAAGTAACCTAAGTGTCCATCAACACATGAAAGAATTAATAAAATGTGATACATAGACACAATGGAGTACTATTCAGCCATGAAAGAGAATGAAATCTTGTCATTTGCAACAACATGAATGGAACTGGAAGTCATTATGATAAGTGAAATTATCCAGCCACAGAAAGACAAACATCACATGTTCTCATTTTGAGGGATATAAAAATCAAGACAATTGAACTCATGGAGATAGAGAGTAGGATGGTTACCAGAGTCTGGGAAGGGTAGTTGGGGGCTGGGGCAGGGGTAGGATGGCTAGTGGGTACCATAAAACCTAGAAAGAATGGGTAAAACCTACAATTTGATAGCTCAACAAGGTGACTATTGTCAATAATAATTATACATTTTAAAATAAGAGTGTTACTGGATTGTTTGTGACTCAAAGGATAAATGCTTGAGGAGATGGATACCCTATTCTCTATGATGTGATTACTTCACATTGCATGCCATTATTAAAACATTTCATGTACCCCATAAATATATATACCTACTACTTACACACAAAAATAAAAAATTAATTTTAAAAAAGAAAGCATGCTTACATTTGCGTTTTAGTTTTTAATATTTGCCTTTGACTTATTTATTTTTTTATATAAATTTATTGGGTACAAATGCAATTCTGCCACACCCATAGATTGCATATGGATCAAGTGAGTGCTTTCAGGTTATCCATAAACAAAATAATGTACATTGCACACAATAAGTAATTTCTTATCTCCCACCACTGCAATACACTCACCATTCTGAGTCTCCTTTGTCTATCATTCCACTCTCTATATCCATATGTATACATTATTTAGCTCTCACTTATGAGTGAGAACATATGATACTTTCCTTTGTGTGTTCACTTATTTCACTTAAGATAATGGCCTCCAGTTCCATACATGCTGCAGCAAAAGACATGATTTCATTCTTTTTATGGCTGAATAGTATTCCACTGTGTATATATACCACATTTTTTTATTCAGTCATCTGTTGATGAACACTTAGGTTGATTCCATTTCTTTGTTATTATGAATAGTGCTGTGATAAGCACACAAGTGCAGGTATCTTTTTGATGTGTAGATTTGTTTTCCTTGCATACTCACTAGTGGAACTGCTGGATCAAATGGTAGTTCTATTTTTAGTTCTTTGAGAATGCTTCATACTTTTTTTTCCCATGGAGGTTATACTAATTTTCATTCCTCCCAACAGTGAATAAGTATTCCATTTTCTCCACACCTTCACCAACATCTGTTGCTGACTTTTTAATAATAGCCATTCTCACTGGGGTAAGATTCTATCTCATTGTGGTTTTAATTTGCATTTTTCTCATGATTAGTGATGTTCAGCATGCTAAAATTGCTTCTTGGCCATATGCATATCTTCTTTTTAAAAATGTCTGCATAAACATTAAAAATATGTCCTTTGCCCACTTTTTAATTGGATCATTTGGGAGTTTTGTTGTGGTTTTTTGACTTCCTTGTAAAGTCTGGGTATTAATCCTCTGTTAGATGCATTATTTCCAAATGTTTTTTCCTATTCTGTAGGCAGTCTTCACTATGTTGATTATTTATTTTGCTGTGCAGAAGCTTTTTAGTTAAATTAAGTCTCATTTATCTATTTTTGTTTTGTTGCCTGTGTTTTTGAAGTCTTAGTCATATATTGTTTGCCTAGACCAATGTCCAGAAGAGGTTCCCTAGATTTTCGTCTAGTATTTTTATAGATTCATGTCTTACATTTAAGCATTTAATTCATCTTGAGTTTATTTTTATATATGATGAGAGATAAGGATCCAGGTTCATTCTTCTGTCTATGGCTAGGCAATCTTCCCAGTACCATTGATTTACTAGGGTGTCCTTTTCCCAGTGTAAGTTTTTGTCAACTTTTTCAAAGATCAGTTGGCTGTAGATAAGTGGCTTTATTTCTGGGTTCTCTATTCTGTTTCATTGATCTATGTGTCTGTTTTTATACCATTACCATGCTGTTTTATTACTATAGCCTTGCAATATAATTTGAAGTCACATAATATGATGCCTCTAGCTTCATTCTTTTTGCCTAGGATTGCTTTGTTTATTTGGGCTCTTTCATAGTACCATATGTATTTTAGGCCTTTTTTTTTTTCTAATTCTGTGAAAGACGGTGTTTGTATTATGAGAAAGATTGTATTGAATCTGTAGATTTCTTTGAGCAGTATAATCCTTTAACTACATTAATTCTTCAGGTACATCACCAGAAGATGCCTTTTTCATTTGTTTGTGTCATCTACAATTTCTTTCATAGTGTATTGTGGTTTTCCTTATAGAAATTTTTCACTTCCTTGCTTAGATGGATTCCTAGGTATTTTTTTTCAGTTATAGGGTAAACTTCTTTATTTCATTCTTAGCTCAATCAATATTGGTGTATAGAAATGCTACTTCTTTTCGTACATCAATTTTGTATCCTGCATGATTACTGAATTCATTTATCAATGCTAAGAGTTTTTAGGTAGGCCTTTAGGTTGTTCTAAATATAAGGTAATATCATCAGCAAACAGAGATAATTTGACTTCCTCTATACTGATTTGAGGCCTTTTATTTGTTTCTCTTGGCTGCCTGCCCTGGGAGGACTTTCAGAAGTATGTAGACAAGTAGTGGTGAAAGTGGACATCTTTCTCTTGTTCCAGTTCTTTAGGCATTACTTTAAACTTGTCCTCTTTCAGTACCATGTTAGTTGTCAGTTTTTAGTATATGGCCTTTATTATTTTGATGTTTGTCTCCCTTCTGTGTCATTTGTTGAGGGTTTTTAATCATGAAGCATTGCTGAATTTATCACGTTTTTCTGTTTCTATTGAGATGATAGTAGAGTTTTTGTCCTTAATTCTGTTTATTTAATACATCACAGTTATTTACTTACAAATGTTGAACCATTCTTGCAAGCCTGGTATAAAACCCACTTTATTGTAGTCTATTATCTTTTTATGTTCTGTTGGATTCAGTGTGCAAGTATTTTCATGAGAATTTTTGTGTCTATGTTGATCTAGAATATTAATCTACAGTTTTCTTTTTATGCTGTGTCCTTGTTTGCTTGGTTTTGGTAGCAGGGTGACACTGGGCTTGCAGAAAGAATTAGGGAGGATTCTCTCCCACTCAATATTTTGGAATAATTTCAAAAAAATGGTATTAGTTATTTTTTGTATGTTTGGTAGCATTCAACTAAGAATACATAGGCTATGGGGCTTCTTTTTGTTCAAAAAACTTTATTACAGATTTACTCTCACTACTCATTTTTGGTCAGTTCTAGCTTTTGCATTCTTCTATTTTAATCTGAAGAGGCTGTCCATTTCTAAGATTTACCCATTTTCTCTAGATTTTCCAGTTCATGACATACAATTCTTTGCATTTATCTAATAATCTTTTGAATGCTTGTGGTGTCAGTTATAATGTCTTGTTACATTTCTTATTTTATTTATTTAGGTATTCCTCTTCTTGTGTATTCTAGCCTGCAGTTTACCAATTTGTTTATCTTTTCAAACAATCAATATTTCATTTCACTGATTTTAAAATTTTTTTCTGCTGTCTATTTCATTTTGTTCTGTTCGTGGTTCAGTCCTGGGAGAGTGTATGTCCAGGAATTTATCCATTTCTTCTAGATTTTCTAGTTTATTTGCATAGAGCTATTTATAGTATTCTCTGATAGTTGTTTGTATTTCTGTGCAGTCAGTGGTAATAGCCCCCTTATCATTTCTTATTGTGTTCTTTGAATATTGTGATGGTTAATACTGAGTGTCAACTTGATTGAATTGAAGGATACAAAGTATTAATCCTGGGTGTGTCTGTGACGGTACTGCCAAAGGAGATTAACATTTGAGTCACTGGGCTGGGAAGGGCAGACCCATCCTTAATTGGGTGGGAACCATCTAATCAGCTGCCAGTAAACATAAAGTGGGCAGAAAAATGTGAAAGGGAGATTCTGGCCTAGCCTCCCAGCCTACAGCTTTCTCCCATGCTGGAGGCTTCTTGCCCTTGAACATCAGACTCCAAGTTCTTCAATTTTGAGACTCAGACTGGCTCTCCTTGCTGCTCAAGCCTACACACAAGTTATTATGGGACCTTGTGATGGTGTAAGTTAATATATAATAAATTCTCATATATATATATGTGTGTCTGTGTGTGTGTGTCTGTGTGTGTGTGTGTGTGTGTGTGTGTGTGTGTGTGTGTGTGTATACTTTTAGTTCTATCCCTCTAGACAACCCTGACTAATGCAGATTTTAGTACCAGGAGAGGTTCTAGAGGAACAGAATATTAAGGATGGAGTTCTTTCGTTGGTTTTGGGGTTTCTGGAATTGGCTGCTTAATATGGTTAGACACAAAAATGCTAGGACTCTACTTCTAATAGTATGGAGAACACTGATAGTCCTTGACATGAACTGTTTAGAGAGTATACAAAATAAATGCATTTGACACTCCTAATTCACCATTTGTGAGAGGCAAGGAGTTTAGTGAGTCTACACATAATACCTTTGACCATATGTGGAGAACCAAGGAACATAATGATGCTGGTTGGTTGCTCCTAATTTCAGTGAACAAAGTAATGAAAGAAAATAATGAACCCAGGGATTCTGTCTCCCAGCTTCAGAAACAGGTACTGAGCCTCAAATCTGCTAAGATTGCCCTGAGTGAGAGTCTTATATCCTCTAGAGAAAGAGCTGAAACTGGAAAAACAGACATGAGCTCTTATAATGTGAGTGGCTGGCCTGCAACAAAAGGTGCATGCACAGCCTCATCAGGTGTCTACTGTTAAAGTGAGGGCATTGATTGGAAAGAATGGGACCCTGGAACTTAGAATGGGGATGTGTGGGAGAACCCTGATGAAGCTGGGGACACTGAGTTTGTAAACTCTGATGAATCTTTTTTGCCAGAAGGAACAGCTTCCCCAACCCCAGTAGTGGCAACATCCCCACCCCAACTCATGCTGCCATCAGCCTGTCGATCTTTGTCTGAGGAGATAAACCCTGTGCTGCCTGAGGCAACAGTGATGGCCTCCCCTGAGGCAGTTGCTAAGCAAAATAATGTTGATTCTCTTCAGGAGCCACCCCAACACCGCTGTTTGCTTCTAGACCTATAACTAAAGTCTCAGTGGGCCCCTAGAGGTAAGGGTGAGAGTGTGAACAATGATGAGGTGTGCTACACTCGAACTGTTTCGGTTCTCTAATTTATATAAACAGAAATCTGGAGAACAGGCATAAGAATGGATTTTAAGGGTATGGGATAATGGTGGAAGGAACACAGACTTGGATTAGGCTGAATTTATTGATTTGGGACCACTAAGTAGGGACTCTGCTTTTAATGTTGCAGCTCACGGAGTTAAAAAGAGGTTCTAACAGTTTATTTGCTTGGTTAGCTGAAATACGGATTAAAAGATGGCCCACTGTGAGCGAGCTGGAAATGCCTGATCTCCCTTGGTTTAACATAGAGGAAGGGATCCAAAGGCTTAGGGAGATTGGTATAGTGGACTGGATTAGTCACTTTAGACCTACTCATTCCAGCTGAGAGGATCCAGACAATATACCCTTGACAAATGCCTTGTGAAATAGATTTGTGAGGGCAGCACCTGCATTTTTAAAGAGCCCTGTAATTGCTCTTCTCTGTATGTCAGATTTAACAGTGGGAACCACAGTCACTCAACTACAAAATTTAAATACAATGGGAATAATTGGATCCCAAGGTGGCAGGAGATAAGTGGTGGTACTCAACCATCAAAGGCAAGGTGGGCATAGCTACCGTCATGGACAGCAGAGGCAAAGTGGCAAACAGAATAGTCTGACTTGTGTGGAGCTCTGGCATTGACTAATCATGATGTTCCTAGAAATTGATAGGACGCCTACTGCATTCTGCTTGTCTTTATACAAGCAGAAGACTTCAAGGTTGAATGGACAAAAGACTAATTTCAATAATAAAGACAGAGAATCATGGCCCCTCAATCAATTTCTAGACTTGAGCCATTTTACAGACCCAGAACCCCTTGAATGAAGGGGAAGTCGGGTCCCCTTGAGGAAGGACCTCACTACATTACTGACAATTTATGCAGTGAATCTTTCTCCCATCCTTCCCCAAAGAGACCACTGGCATTTTGTCAGTGTAACTGTGCAACTGGGGAAAGGGAAATAATCAGACATTTTAGGGACTACTGGACAATGGCTCTGAGCTGATGTTGATTCTAGGGGACCCAAAACATCATTGTCATCCTCCAGTTAAAGTAGGGGCTTATGGAGGTCACATAATTAATGGAGTTTTAGCTCTGACTTACAGTGGGTCCAGTGGGTCCCTCAACTCATCCTGTGGTCATTTCCCCAGTGCCAAATGCATAACTGGCATAGACATACTTAGCAGCAGGCAGAACCCCCACATTGGCTCCCTGACTGGTAGGGTAAGGACTATTATGGTGGGAAAGGCCAAATGGAAGCCATTAGAGCTGCCTCTACCTAGAAAAAATAGTAAATCAGAAACAATATCAATCCCTGCAGGGACTTCAAAGATTAGTGGCACCATAAAGGACTTGAAAGATGCAGGTGTGGTGATTTCTACCACATCCCCATTCAACTCTCCCATTTGGCCTGTGCAGAAGACAGATGGATATTGGAAAATGACAGTGGATTATTATAAGCTTAACCAAGTGGCGACTCCAATTGCAGCTGCTGTACCATATGTGGTTTCATTGCTTGAGCAAATTAATACATCTCCTGGTACCTAGTATGCAGCCACTGACTTGGCAAATGCCTTTTTCTCCATTCCTGTCCATAAGGCCCACCAGAAGCAATTTGCCTTCAGCTGCAAGGCCAGCAATATAACTTTACTGTCCTGCTTCAGGGGTATATCAACTCTCCAGCTTTGTGTCATAATCTTATTTGGAGAGACCTTCATCGCTTTTTGCTTCTGCAAGATATCACATGGGTCCATTACACTGATGACATTATGCTGACTGGATCTAGTGAGCAAGAAGTAGCAAACACACTGGACTTATTGGTGAGACATTTGCATACCAAATGATGGAAAATAAATCCAACTAAAATTCAGGGACCTTCTACCTCAGTAAAATTTCTAGGGTACAGTAGTCTGGGGACTGTTGAGATATTCCCTTTAAGGTGAATGATAAGTTGCTGCATTTGACCTCTCCTACAACCAAGAAAGAGGCACAACACCTGGTGGTCCTATTTGGATTCTGGAGGCAATGCATTCCACATTTGGGTTTGTTACTCTGCCCCATTTATTGAGTAACAGAAAATGCTGCCAGTTTTAAGTGGGGTCCAGAACAGGAGAAGGCTCTGCAACAGGTCCAGGCTGCTGTGCAAGCTGCTCTGCCACTTGGGCCATATGACCCAGCAGATCCAATGGTGCTTGAGGTGTCAGTGTCAGATAGGGATGCTGTTTGGAGCCTTTAGCAGGCCACCATATGTGAATCACAGAGGAGGGCTCTGGGATTTTGGAGCAAGGCCCTGCCATTTTCTGCACATAACTACTCTCTTTGTGAGAGACAGCTATTTGGCTTGTTACTGGGCTTTGGTGGAAACTGAAAGTTTGACTATGGGTCATCAAGTCACCATGCGAATTGAACTGCCTATGATGAACTGAGTGCATTCTGACTCATCTAGCCATAAAGTGGGTCATGCACAGCAGCGTTCCATCATCAAATGGAAGTGGTATATATGTGATTGGGCTCAAGTAGGTCCTGAAGCACAAGTAAGTTACCTAAGGAAGTGGCATGGTGTTCACTCCTGCCACTCTGCCTTCTCTTCCCCAGTCTGCACTGATGGCCTCATGGGGAGTTCCCTATGATCAGTTGACAGAGAGACAGAAGACTAGGGCCTGGTTCTCAGGTGGTTCTGCACGATATGTAGAAACCACCTGAAACTGGACAGCTGCAGCACTACAGCCCCTTTCTAAGACATCCCTGAAGGACAGTGGTGAAGGGAAATCTTCCCAGTGGGCAGAACTTTGAGCAGTGCACCTGCTAGTGCACTTTTCATGGAAGGAGAAATGGTCAGATGTGTGATTATATACTGATTCAAGGGCTGTAGCCAATTGTTTGGAAGCATGATCAGGGACTTGGAAGAAGCATGATTGGAAAATTGGTGACAAAGAAATTTGGGGACAAGGTATGTGGATGGACATTTCTACATGGTCAAAAACTGTGAAAATATTTGTATATCATGTGAGTGCTCACCAACAGGTGACCTCAGCAGAGGAGGATTTTAATAATCAGGTGGATAGGATGACTCATTTTGTGGATACCACTCAGCCTCTTTCTCCAGTCACCCATGTCATCGCCCAATGGGCCCATGAATAAAGTGGCCATGGTGGCAAGGATGGAGGTTACACATGGGCTCAGCAACATGGACTTCCACTCAGTGAGGCTGACCTGGCTATGGCCACTGCTGAGTGCCCAATTTGCCAGCAGCAGAGACCAATACCTAACACTTAATATGGCACCATTCCTTAGGCTGATCAGCCAGCTACTTGCTGGCAGGTTGATTATATTGGACCTCTTCCATCATGGAAAAAGCAGAGGTTTGTCCTCACTGGAATAGACACTCATTCCAGATATGGGCTTCCCTATCCTGCACGCAATGCTTCTGCCAAGACTACCATCCATGGACTCAAGGAATGCCTTATCCACCGTCATGGTATTCCACACAGCATTGCCTCTGAGCAAGGCGCTCACTTTACCGCTAAAGAAGAGTGGCAGTAGGCTCAGGCTCATGGAATTCACTGGTCTTACCATGTTCCTCATTATCCTGAAGCAGCTGGATTGATAGAATGATGGAATGGCTTTTTGAAGTCACAATTACAATGCCAACTAGGTTACAATACTTTGCAGGGCTGGGGAAAAGTTCTCCATAAGGCCGTGTATGCTCTGAATCAGAGTCCAATATATGGTATTTTCTCTCCCATAGTTGGGATTCATGGGTCCAGAAATCAAGGGGTGGATATGGAAGTGGCACCACTCACCATCACCCCAGTGATCCACTAACAAAATGTTTGCTTTCTGTTCCCGTGACCTTATGTTCTGCTGGCCTAGAGGTCTTAGTTCCAGAGGGAGGAACGCTGCCACCAGGAGGCACAACAACAATTCCATTAAACTACAAGTTAAGATTGCCACCTGGATACTTTAGTCTCCTCCTACCTTTAAGTCAACAAGCTAAGAAGGGAGTTGCAGTGTTGGCTGGGGTGGTTGACCCGGACTATCAAGATGAAATCAGTCTACTACTCCACAATGGAGGTAAGGAAGAGTATGCATGGAATACAGGAGATCCATTATGGCATCTCTTAGTATTACCATGCCCTGTGATTAAGGTCAATGGCAAACTACAACAGCCCAATCCAGGCAGGACTGCAAATGGCCCAGACCCTTCAGGAATGAAGGTTTTGGTCACTCCACCAGGAAAAAAAACCATGACCTGCTGAGGTGCTTGCTGAAGGCAAAAGGAATACAGAATGGGTAGTCATTAATACCAGCTATGACCACATGACCAGCTGCAGAAATGAGGACTGTAATTGTCATGAGTATTTCCTGCTTGGTTTGTTAAAAACATGTTTGTGCACGTATGCACTTGTACTAAGAAAATATCTTCATTTTATTTCCTTTTTCCCTTATCATGTGACATGAGATTTACTGACTTCATATCAGCATTTAAGTATTGTTAACTTTATGTAATAGTATTTGGGTTGGGGATTGGTGCATTTCTGGTTGTATGAAGGATCGTTGTATTATGTTAATTGTAATTATGACCTTTTTGCTGTCTTTATTTGAAGATTATGTATGCTCTCAGTAGAGCGTATGGGTTGAAGTTGACAAGGGGTGAACTTGTGATGGTTCATACTGAGTGCCAACTTGATTGAATTGAAGGATACAGAGTATTGATACTGGGTATATCTGTGAAGGTGTTGCCAAAAGAGATTAACATTTGAGTCAGAGGGTTGGGAAAGTCATACCCACCCTTAATTGGGTGGGTGCCATCTAATCAGCTGCCAGCAAATATAAAGCCGGCAGAAAAATGTGAAAAGGAGAGAAAGGCCTAGCCTCCTAGCTAACATTTTTCCCCCATGCTGGACACTTCCTGTCCTTGAACATTGGACTCCAGGTTCTTCAGTTTTGAGATTCAGACTGGCTTTCCTTGCTGCTCAAGCGTGCAGACAGCCAATTACGGTACCTTGTGATCATGTAAGTTAACACTTAATAAACTCATCTATATATGATAAATATCAAGAATATATATACATCTCTCTCCTATTAGTTCTGTTCCTCTAGAGAACCCTAATACAAATATGCTCTCTTTTTGAAGCATGTTTTTAAATTTCCATGTATTTGTATACTTTCCTAAGTCCTCTTGTTATTCCACTGTGGTCTATGCAGATACTTGGTATGATTTTTATTTTTAAAAATTTGTTAAGATGTGTTTTGTGGCCTAACATATAGTGTATCTTGCAGAATGTCCCATGTGCTGATTAAAAGAATATATACTCTGCAACTGGGTAGAATTTTCTTTTTTTTTGAGATAAAGTCTCGCTCTTTCACCCAGGCCAGACTGCAGTGGTGCTATCTTGGCTCACTGCAAGCTCCACCTCCCACGTTGACGCCATTCTCCTGCCTCAGCCTCCCGAGTAGCTGGGACTACAGGCGCCTGTCACCGTGCCCAGCTAATTTTTTGTATTTTTAGTAGAGACGGGGTTTCACCGTGTTGGCCAGGATGGTCTCGATCTCCTGACCTCATGATCCACCTGCCTAGGCCTCCCAAAGTGCTGGGATTACAGGCGTGAGCCACTGCACCCAGCCTAGAATTTTCTAAAAATGTATTTTGAGTCCATTTGGTCTAAAGTCCAATTTAAGTCCAGTGTGTCTTTGTTAATTTTCTTGATAATCTGTCCAATGCTGTGAGTGGGGTATTGAAGTCCCCTGGTATTCTGATATTGCAGGCTGTCTCTCCCTTTAGGTCTAGTAATATTTGTTTTATGAATCTAAGTGCTCTGGTATTGGGTGCATATGTAGCTAGGGTTGTTATATTCTCACGCTCAATTGATCCCTGTGTGATTATATAATAACCTTCTTTGTCTTTTTTTTAACTATGTTGATTTAATGCCTACTTTATGTGATATGAGTATAACCATTCCTGCTCACTTTCAGTTTCCATTTCTATGGAATATCGTTTTCCATGTCTTTATTTTCAGTCTATATGTGTCTTTATAAGTAAGAACAGTTTCTTGTATGCAGCATATAGTCGGATCAAGTTTTTTTAAAATCCATTCAGACAATCCTTATCTTTTAAGTGGAGAACTTAATATATTTATGTTCAAGGTTATTATTAGTATGTGAGGTTGTGCTACTGTAATGTTGTTAATAGTTTACTAGTAGTTGTAAAAATTCTTTGTTTCTTTATTTCTGTCTGTTTCTATTTGTGGTGTAGTGGAATTCTGTAATGGTGCAATTTGATTCCTTTCTCTTCCTCCTTTGTGCAATTGCTTTACAAGTGAATTTTATACTTCTATGTATTTTCTTGATGGTGACTATTGTCCCTTCCATGTTTATAAGTCCTCTGAGCATTTCTTGTAGAACTGGACTGGTGGTAATAAAGTCCCTCAGCATTTGCTTGTCTGGGAAAGACTTTATTCCTTCATTTATGAAGCATTCTCTTGCTGGATATAGAATTCTTTACTGACAGTTTTTTTCTTTCAGTACTTTGAATACGTCATCCCATTCTATTCTGGCCTGTGTGGTTTCTGCTGGGTAGTCCACTGTGAGTCACATGTTTTTCTCTTGCTGTTTTTTAGAATTCATTCTTTCACTTTGACTTTAGAATGTCTAATTGTAATATGCCACAATAAAGTCCTTTTTGCCCTGTGTTTCCCTAAAAATTGTTGTGCCTCCTGGATCTAGATGTCTAAATCTCTTACTAGACTTGAAAATTTTCATCTATTAACTTGTTAAATAGATTTTTAAACTTTTTGATTCTTCCCTATCCAGAATACTAATATTTTATAAGTTTGATTGCTTTATGCAGTCACAAATGTTTCAAAGGCTTTATTTTTTTCTTTATATTTTGCCTGACGGAATTATCTCAAAAGACCTGTCTTCAAGTTCTGAAATTCTTTCTTCTGCTTGGTTTGGTCTGTTGTTGAAGCTTTTGCACATATTTTATATTTACTTCAATGATATTTTCAGTTCCAGAATTTCTTTTTTTAAAAAAGATATATATTTCCTTGGTAAATTTCTCATTCACATTCTGAATTGGGTTTATGATGTCTTTGTATTGGTTTTCAGATTTCTCTTGCATCTCATTGAACTTCTTTAAAATCAATACTTTGAGTTATCTGGAATTTCAAGAATTTATTTTTGGTTAGAATCTGTTGTTGGAAAATTATTGTGTTTCTTTGAGGGCATCATATCACCTCATTTTTTATGTTTTTCCTGTGTCTGTATGTCAATTTATGTGTATCTGGTGTAAAACTTATGTTTATATTTACTTTTGTTGGGAGAGGAGCTTTTCTTGAAGGTGTGACTATGATGATGGTTGAATGGGGTTGTTTGGTTTTGCTTCTGGATTTATGCAGTGGTGAAAACTACCTGGTTTTCCTTGGCTATAAATAGCATTAGTGGCGTCTGTGGATTCCTCAGTGTGTTAGGGCATGGTTATTGATGGAGGCTTTGTTGCAGTTGTGCTGGATATTTGAATGCCAGATGGACCCTTCAGGTTTCAGTGGTAGTGGTGATGAGCTATTCATGTTTGTCCTTGTGACCTGGAGCAGTATATGCTGGCATCTGTGTTGGGAGTTCTAGGCAGGCTGATTCTTGGGCCTCTGGGTGGCTTTCTTGCATGTCAATTGTAGTAGTGCTATACGAGGCAAGTGAGTGGGCTCTTGAGTTCCTGGGCAGCTGAGATGCCATAGGCAATGGTGGTAGCAGCAGTGGTGAAGTGTTCTCCCAGGTCCCAAGCCCTGTGCTCTTGTGTTGGGAGTAGTTGCAGGGGGTTGTATGAGCTGGTCTCTGAGCCAGCAGGTGGCACTTGCAGGTAGAAACAAGCTGATGAGGTAGCAGCAGGGTGTTCATGCTTGACTTTTGTTCCCCAGGACAAGTCCTTAGGTGTCCTACGCACTGGGATGGGCTACAAATCTCTCAGAAGCCTGGATCCCACACTCTGTCTTAGAAGATGGAAAAAAACTGATTGGAAGTTGACTGGGCAAACCTGTGCTTGGGCCTCCTGATGGCAAGTGCATGCATCAGCCATGACAGTTATGGGGCAATCCTAAGGTCCCTGGTAAAATGTTTGGGGGAGGGGTAACAGCCCCTGTGCTGAGGTCCTTCCACAAGGTAGGAGTGGGATCCTGGTCCCAGCTGTCACAGCCTTGGCCAGCAAGTGCACATCCCAGCAAGTCTCCCTCCCCAGTCCCAGCCAACCTTATACTTCAGTCAGATGAGGTAGTTCATGCTTCACTTGCAACCCAAAACCTGGCCATAAGAGCACCTGCCCAGCTCAGGACCAAGCCTGCATAGCAACTCTCATCCTGCTCAGTTCCTGGGGGTTGCCTGGTTCCAGCACCAGTGGCTGAAGGCCATGCCAGTCTCACTAGTCATGGAAGCTCATGCCCCACTCAAGCATCACTTCCAAAAGCCACAACCTGACTAAGGCCAATAGTTTCCAAAACCATGCACCGTTTGTTAGGAGCTAGTATTGAGAGTAGTGTCTTACTATAGCCACTTAGGTCTCAGACAGGGGATGGGACTCAGGGTATGTTATCTCTTATAGTTTTCTGGCCACTCCCCAAGTCTGATTCATCTCCCTTATTGCGGATTTTCTCCTGGTCCCTAGCTGATCCTAGCTGGTAACAATAACATAATTTTTCAGTAACATTTTCCAAAACCAGATCTATGCTCTTGCATGCCTATCAATACCCACTGTTTTCAGCAAAAGTGGTTTTTGCCTTAGAGGATGTGATACTGTGATATGACAAGAAATATATATATTTGGTCTTCATTCCCAGTTCCTGGTGCAGAGTTCCTAAAACCCTTGTAATTTCCTAAGTGATACACGTGTTAGGAGTATCTTTTATTTTAATATTTGCTTCCTGGCCCTGGTTTCTGACCCAGAGCTCCTAAATCACTTGGAATTTCCTGGGAGATAGGAATATTTTGTTCCAATGAAGGAACAACTCTTGATGGGCTCCTGGATAGCTTCAGAATAAAGGCTGCTTACCAGCTTAACATATGGGGCTTTAAGAGCTTCTGGGATGGTGAACATATCCACATACTAAGAGGGTGGCACACTCCCAACTCCATGTGGACACAGAAGCTTTTGTGCTCAGGACGCTTCCAGACCTAGTCCTATGTACATCTTCATCTGGCTTTTCATCTGTATCGTCTATCATATTTTATAATAAACCAGTAAATATAAGTAAGTGTTTCCCTGAGTTACATGGGTGATCACAGAAAATTATCAAACCCAAGGAGGGGTGTCATCAAAATTACTGATTTTTAGCAAATTCAAACATCAATGTGGGTAATATGGGGCCCCCTGCTTGGGATTAGCATCAGAAATGGGGGGCAGTCTTATGGGTCTGAGCTCATAATCTGTGGTGTCTGCACTAATTCCAGCTGGTTATTGTCATAAATGAATTGTAGGGCACACAATTGGTAGCTGGAGAATTGTTCTGTCATATGGAAAACAGCGACACATTTGGTGCCAGAAGTGTTGAGAGTTAAAAAAAACAAAAACAAAAACAGTAAATTTTTCCTATTTAAAGTGGCTAGGACACTGGGGTTCCCCTCAGTAAACGTCCTCTGTCAGCAACCACCTATCATCTCTAGAACAGAAAAATTAACTCCGAATCCTAACCGTAGAGTGGATCAATCTGCCCCAGTTGGCTTATCTTAAATGGATGTGGCATATACCCTTAAGCCAGTCCTGAAGCCCCATAAAAAACCAACTCCAGAGATCAGCACTCTCACTAGATTCCTCCAAGTCAGCTTTCACTTGCTTACACCATTTACTCCTTGTTCTCAGTACTCTTGTTGCCTTATTTTTTTCCTTCTCCTTATATTATCTCCATGTTGCTATTTCTGCTTTGTGGAGAGTCTTTAGGTAGGAGACCCATGTTTGAATTCCCAAATCTTACTGACTTTAGCTTCCAGTGGAAACACTTTACTTCAGGCTTTCTGAGACCAGAAACTAGGGACCCCCTCTCCCAATGCTTTTTATCAGGGCAGGAAGATTAAATAAGAACAATGTGTCTAAAATGAATTTGTTGGTCTTTGACATTAGTTTTTTAAATGAATATACAAGATTATTCCAAATAATTTAGCTTTAGGGTTAGAATGGATCTTAAACGTCATCTGGTATACCTCCCACTATTGCCAGCACTGTCAATATAATGTAATTTTCTTACAGTATCCTTCCATTGGGGGGCAGTTATCATTTTATTAAATACTCTTGACCCTATGAGGTATTACACGTCATCTTGGAAAGCAGTGACTTGTTTCATAGTGGTTTCTAGTCCCTCTGAGAATGCTCTAGACAATGACCATAATTTTTCTTTTTAAGGAATGACATGCTCAATTTCTTTTTTTTCTCCTAAAATTTACCAGAGGTAGACCCAGGATTTGTGGGTTTGTGGGCTCTGAAGCTTATGAAGACTCTCTTTAAGAAACCGAAAACAATATTATGAATATGAAATCAGGTTCAAGACCTTTAAAGGACACATGCAAGGGAGAAACCCAGAAATTTAAGTTTTGTAGCTTCAGGGTATATCTGCCTTTATCAGGACTACACTTAAATGATTAAATATTTAAAGTATGCTTTATCTCATTTATTGTATGAAGTAGCTGCTGTTGTTATTTCTATTCCAAATATGAGAACATCAAGTCCTCCAAAGTTAAGAAACATGCTCAAGATCACACAGCTTGTAAGTTGCAGAACCAGTTCATTAAATGTTTAGGAAAATGGACTTGCTTTCCCTCTCCATCGTAGTTATTATCCTACAGCCAATCTCTGGTTTATCTAAACCACTCTTAAAAGTGTATATTCAATTCAAATAGTATGAATAGAACACTTACTATATGTCAAGTAATACACAGTGCTATGCATTTCACCTATTATAGTTAGAGTTAATTATTTTCAGATTTACTTGAACCTTCTCTGGGGAACAAACTACAGCGTAGCTCTACATCATCTCTGCCTCCCAGTGTTCATGCCCCTGTATAATCTCTCCCTTTGAGTACTGGAAGGACCTGTGACTTGCTCTTACAACATAATATGACAAAGGTGATAGGATGGCACTCACATGGTTATGTTACATTCTAAACAACTCTACCCTGCTAGGAAATCTGCCCTAGAGAGCTGGTTTGATGAAATAAACAGCTATATTGGAAAAGCCCGTGTGGCAAGGAACTGCTGGCAGCATCTAGGAAATGCAGAAGATAGCATCTAAGAACTGCAGGCAGCCTCTAAGATCAGAGGGTGGCCTCCAGCCAACAGTCACCAAGAAGCCAGTGCCCTCAATCCTATAAAAGGTTGTTGAAGTCTGCTAACATGCCTAATGAGCTTAGAAGAGGATTCTTCCCTAGTCAACCCTCCAGATAAGAAAGCAACCTAACCATCATCTTAATTATTGACTTTGTGAGATCCCAAGCAGATGACACAGCTAAGTCATGTCTGAACTCTTGATCCAAATAAACTATTATATAATAAATATGCTATTTTAAGTCACTAAATTTGTGACAACTTATTACACATTAATTAGATAACTAATACAGATTCTGGTAATGATAGTGGGGTGCTGCTATGACAAATATACAAACATGTGGGAGTGGCTTTGGGCACAGGCAGAGTCGAAGTTGGAAGAATTTTGATAATCACAAATGAAAACCTAAGTCTTACCTTTTAGAATCAGATGCCATAAAAATAATTCCCATTTTTCCCCCCTGAATATTCTGTCTGTGTATTGGGGCCATATTTGACAATTCCCTACCTTTACCCATATGTTAATTACAAGTTCTAAAATAATATCTTTGCTTGTTCAAACCTACAAAGTGAATTGCTTATTTTTGCTTAGATTCAGAAGACACAAATATTTATGGAAAATGTATTGACTGTCAAATACTGAGTTAAATTATTTCTTTTATATATGTTGCCTCATGTAATCCCCATAAAAAACACTGTGTGTTAGGCATTGCTATCCCCATTTTATACTTGGAAAAAAAACACCGAGTTCCAGGAGACAGGGTTGGTAAGGAACCTAAGACACCTCTCAGGAAAAGTTTTTGTTTTAATTTGCTGGATTCAAAGCATCAGAGTATGCCTAGAGAATGACTAGCATTCCTCTTTGCTGCAAGTTTCTTTGCTCGGTAACAAATTTCATTTCAGTCTATCAAGACAACTTTTTCATATGCAACATTATTAATATGAAAAGTGGTAGGACAGCACTTTAGAATTTACAAAAACATTCACATACAATCTAACTTGATCCTCAAAAAGATCTTGTGAAGACAGTATTAATGTCCCAATTTAGAGATGTAGAACTAAGGTTCAGAAATAGCAGGAGCTTTGCCCAAATTTATACAATTAGATAAAAGAGGATATCCTGCTCAGCATGAACATAGTATCTAGCATGCAACCATAATCAATAATCGTTTAGAGACTGACTGACTGACTGAATGAATGAATGAATACATTAATGTTTTATTCCAAGGGCAGTGCTCTTTTCGTTAAAGCAGCACCTCCATGAAACAAATCAGAATTTAATTCTGAGTACCTTGTTCTCTAGTAACCAGCACCACAAAATAACAGTTTTATAAATTAAAAGGAAAAATAATTGAGTTATATTAAATTACTTATTCATCTACACATACACCAGAGTGTCCCTCACCTCTGTCTTGACTCATCTAGTTCTGTCTAAAAACTCTCATCCATTCTCCACCTTTTCCTCCCTCCTCCTCCCATTCTTCATTGGTTTGTTCCATTCCTACTCACCTTTAAAGCCTTAGCTCAGAAATCATCTACTTTGAGTGGATCACCTGAGGTCAGGAGTTCAAGACCAGCCTGGCCAAAATGGTGAATCCTCGTCTCTGATAAAAATACAAAAAAATTAGACAGGTGTAGTGGCATATGCCTGTAGTCCCAGCTACTCGAGAAGCTGAGGCAGGAGAATTGCTTGAACCCAGGAGGCAGAGGTTGCAGTGAGCCGAGATTATGCCATTGCACTCCAGCCTGGGCAACAAGAGTGAAATTCCATCTCAAAACAGAAGAAAAGAAAGAAAAGAAAAAAGAAAAGAAAAGAAAAGAAAAAGAAAAGAGAAGAGAAGAGAAGAGAAAAGAAAAAAGAAAAGAAAAGAAATAATCTACTTTGAGTACCTAGCCCACCTAGTCCAGGGGCCCCTCCTCTGTGTTCCCATAGCTCATGCTGCTTATCTTATTGAGATATGGTGACTCATCTCACCATTAGGCAACTGGTTTTATTCACCTCTGTATCACTTATGCCTAACGCAATGTCATTGCATAGTATTCATGCATATATATATCCATCATAATACTGGCTTGAACTAAATTAAATACCCGCTAGCTGGAACCCTGTATGCAAAAGGCTCTATTCTTTGTCATTACTTATAAGGGGACTGAAGAGTAAATATCAGAATTGAAAGTCTGGCATCATGTTGCTAAACAGTTCCTTGGCAACACAACAGGTGTATATATAATGAGAATAATAGCACAAACATTACATTTTAAAATATTACTCCCCACAACAGCAACTTGTTGTTTGCAAACTCCAGCCCTGTCAGAGATTCCTTCTGCTTCTGGCCTCCAGACTCATGATGCAGCAAGGCAGTGATTTTTAAATTTATTATTATTATTATTATTTTCATAATAAACAAATACATTGAAATAATGAAATTCTGAGGCTCTGTAATTTTTCAGGAGAAAAATAAAATAGGAAAGATCTTGCTAAATTCTTAATCAGGCCACATCATTTCCTTCTTAAAATCTCTCAATGATTCCCTCACCTAAAGTTCCTCACCCTTACTCTATGCATCTTGGTTCACCAGGCTCCATACTCCACACCATGTAATCCAGCCAACCTGAATTAATATTTATTTCCCAAGCACATTAAGCTGTTCCAGGCCACTATGTCTCTCCTTACAATCTTACAGCGTAGAATGTCCTTGTATGCCTTATCTATGCCCAGCAAAATCTTAGTTTCTCATGGCAATGCTTCCTCAGTTATAATACACCATAATGCTTTGTGCCCACACTGTCCTCTGTAATACATTCTAATTTATAACCTCTGTGACACTGCAGTGTACCTATTTGTGGATGCTATAATTTCCACCCTGAGCTCCTTAAGGACAGAGACTGAATCCGTCTCATTCATTGTTGTATTCCTAGCACCCAGTACAAATTTTAGCATTGAGCAGACACTTAGAGAATGTCAACGAATCAACATACCAGTGGTTATGAAGACACTGCTCAAGGCCTAGGAAGAATTAAGAATGCTCTTCTGCCTGAGACTGGGTTAGAATCTACATTCTGGAAGCAATACTTCAAAGTTACTGTCTAGCTCAAAGACTTTAATGTAAAACTCCCCAGCCTTGATTAACACCTGTTCATTTGAACCGCCAACCCAGACATCCTGGTTCGTTCTCTTATATGTGCCTATATCTTTCTTGAATTCAAAATTCAACAAGCATGGATTGAGGCACCTACATGTGCCACATACTACATACTAGGTACTGAAGAATTCATAATGGACAAAATATAATTTGTTTCCTCAAGGAGCTCCTAAATGAGTGATATCATTAAGTCATTACTGAAACAACCTATATTATGATCTCATCACACTGAGACACATAGGGATTGATTAACTTAACCAAGACCACATACATTTGTAAGGCCATTCTTCAAGTATGTTGAACTATGCTTCATTTATGTTAGAAATATGGGTGAACTGGGGATTTTTAAGATGCATATGTCCAGGGATGCAAGGTAAATTCTAGTTCTGCCTTCAATAAATTACTCCTTTCCACAAGTCCTGGAAGGAGTTGTATGCATACAGGAAACAATTACCAGTGAAGGTAGGGAGGACATTTTATTATAAGCTGTGGTTTAGATCTCAAACCTCAAAACAGAGAAGTTCAATATAAGCTGAGTTGAACTAGAAGGAGCACTCTTTTTTATTTAATATTGTTGAGTATAAATGGCTTTAAATCAAAGCATGATGTGAGACCAACTAATTTTATTTTTCTCAATCCCTAAGCATCCAGGTATGAATTCCCAATCCTAATTATATGACTAAAGGAAACTCAAACCATAACTGGAGAAGCAACACTGTGACTTGAACCTAAAATCAAGCTTGCATTTGGACCCTAGATTCCTCCATAAATGTTAATTCCCTTTTTCACTATACCATAGCTGTCTCAATAGACTTACCTATGGTCAAAAACTGCATAATTGATAAAACCCTAAATCCACAGAGACCAAAAAGCAGAGTGTTCACCAATATTTTAGGACTTCAAAGTATTGGCATTTGTAGGGAAAGCATGAAAGTTATATGCAAATCACCATAAATGTACATCAATGGGAAAAATTGAACATCAATTAAAATGGAAATTATATAATATTTCATATAATCAAATTTAAAATTGCATGAGATTGGAAAATATAGCTTTGTCTATACTTTCTAAATGCTAGAGACAATGCTGGTTTATTACTGCGAGAGTGAAATGAGCAGTATTAGTCCCAATTAAGAGTGAAATTCTGATAATTATTTAAGATTAATTGAAGCTTGTTGACAGACTCAAGAGAGCCCTGTGTGGGAATGTATACTTGCATTCACTTAAACAGGAAAAACTTCACCCTTCCTTATTTTTCTTTATCTTGTGACAAGTTACTCTTATGAGATAGCTATTTTGACTCTTACTTGGTAGGCTTACTCCTATAGTAATAAATTGACAGAGTGTTTCTTTGTAGGTCTGTCTGTAGGACCTAAATACATAAAAGTATACCCCTTACAGTATTTTAAAGCAGTCCATATGAAAGTCACATAAACAAAAATTGTTTTTAAATTGATATAGAAATGTATTAAGATATATATATCCTTTGACCCTGTAATTCAAATTCTGAGAAGCTATCATAAGGAGACAAAATGAGACCTAGCTTCATTGATCAAGACGTTGACTACAGTAATATTTATAGTAGCAAAAATCTGGAAACCAGCTAAAAGCTCAACATCAGACTTGGCACATTAATAAATTGAATATAATTATTTAAAATAATGTTCACAAAAATATTTAGCATCAATAAAACCGAGAATATAACACTAATGAAAAAGATAAAACAGAAAATTACATGCAGGATGCAATACCATCTATGAAAAAGAATTTGTACAGAAGGAAAAAAAAAAAGGAGGCTAGTCCCTGGCACAAGGGCACTACTTTGTTCGATCAGTTGTTCTTGAACAGAAACAAGGAAGGGAGGGAGGGAAAGGAAGGAAACTAAGAAGTCCAAAAAGTTGTCTCGAGGTAGAAAACATCAGCAAAGTTATTCTCTACTTCTCTTAATACATTTCTATATACTTTTCAAAAGTTTTACGTAAGAGAGCGTATAATCAAAATGAATACATAGAAAAATTAATATAGAAAAAATATTAAAACAATAAGGACAAAACCATCAATCTAATATCCTCATGAAACTTCAGTCCATTTCAAAACCTTCCCACAACTACTATTATCTCTGGAAATTAGTGTTTCTAATTAAGAGAAAAATATGCATTAAATAATTAGTGAAATTTAACTCTTAGAATAAAGAGTATTCATGAATAAAATATCAACTGAGAATGAAATTAGCTATGAGTACAGAAATAACTCTGGAAATTCCAATAAAATTAAACTATATGTTTCTAAATAACCCATGAGTCAAAGTGTAAATCACAAGGGATATTAGAAAATATGTTAGCAGAATAAAAATAAAAACAAGGATTACAAAAATTAATAGGACTGAGTAAACACTGCTTAGAGGAAAATGTATAGCTTTAAATGACTATATCTGAAACAAATAAAATCGTCTAAAATCAATAACTTTCATACCTTAAGCTTCTGCCTTAGGAAACCAGAAAAAAGCCCTCAATCTAACATAAAAAGGTAAACAATTGAGATTAGGTGGGAGGCAACCAAAAAAACACAAAACAAAATAAATTAAATACAGAAAAATCAATGAAACCAAAAGTTGTTTTTTTGAGAAGATTAACAAAATTGACAGATCTTTAAGGAGAATGACCTTGAAAAAAAGGGAAGACACAAATTATCACAATGGGGAATGAAAGAAGAAACATTAGTACTAGCCACACAAAAATTAAAGGAATTGTAAGTGATATTATAAATAACTTGTTATCAAAAATTACTTATATAACATTGAAAATTAAATTGACTGACTAAAAAAAAGAAAATCTGAATAGGCCTGTATTAAGTAAAGGAATTGAATTCATTCTCTATCGTTAAAATGACCATACTGCAAAAGCAATTTATTAATTCAATGCTATTCCTATCAAACTACCAATGACATTCTTCACAGAACAAGAAAAAACTATTTTAAAATTGATATGGAACCAAAAAAGAGTTCAAATAGCCAAGGCAATTCTAAGCAAAAATAACAAAGCCAGAAGAATCACTCTACTTGACTTCAAACTATACTACAGGGCTACTGAAACCAAAACAGCATAATACTCGTACAAAAACAGATACATAGACCAATGGAACAAAATAAGGAGCCTACAAATAAGGCTGCACACCTACAACCATCTGATCTTCAAAAAAGTTTACAAAAACAAGGAATGGAGAAAGGGGTCCCTATTCAATAAATGGTCCTAGAATAACTGGCTAGCCATATGCAGAAGATTGAAAATCAATTCCTTCCTTACACCATATACAAAAATCAACTCAAGATGGATTAAAGACTTAAATGTAAAACATAAAACTATAAAAACCCTGGAAGAAAACCTAAAAAATACCATTCTGGACATAGGCCCTGGCAACAATTTCATGATGAAGACTCCAAAAGCAATTGCAACAAAAACAAAAATTGACAAATGGGATCTAATTAAACTAAGGGCTTCTTCACAGCAAAATAAACTGCCAATAGAATAAACAGACAACCTACAGAATGGAAGAAAATATTTGCAAACTATGCACTCAACAAAAATCTAACATCCAGAATCTCCAAGGAACTTAAACAAATCAAATAAGCAAAAAACAAACAACTCTATTAAAAAATAGGCAAAAAACATGAACAGGCTGGGCTCAGTGGCTCACACCTGTAATCCCTGCACTTTGAGAGGCTGAGGAGGGCAGATCATTTGAGGTCAGGAGTTCAAGGCCAGCCTTGCCAACATGGCGAAATCCCATCTCTACTGAAAATACAAAATTAGCTGGGTGTGGTGGCAGGCACCTGTAATCCTAGCTACTTGGGAGGCTGAGGCAGGAGAATCGCTTGAACCCGGAAGTGGAGTTTGCAGTGAACCGAGATCATGCCACTGCATTTCAGCCTGGGTACACAGTGAGGCTCTGTCTCAAAAAAACAAAAACATGAACAAACACTTCTGAAAAGAAGAGTATACATGTGAACAAGCATATGGAAAAAATACTCAACATCATTAGTCATTAGAGAAATGCAAATCAAAACCACAATGAGATATCATCTCACACAAGTCAAATTGGCTATTATTACAAAGTCAAAAAATAACAGATGCTGGTGAGGTTGTGGAGAAAGAAAATGCATATATACTATTGGTGGGAATGTAAATTAGTTCAGCCACTGCAGAAAGCAGTTTGAAGATTTCTCAAGTAACTCAAAACAGAACTACCCTTTGACCCCGCAATTCCATTACTGAGTATACACCCAAAGAGATATAAATTGTTTAACTAGCAATTTAATCAAATTCAGTCTAATGTAATCCTTATGGAAGGCAATTTGACAATGCTTATCCTAATTAAAAATCTACCTATCCTTTAAGCCAGCAATTCTTTTTCTAGGAATTTATCCTTACAGATTATACTTGCACATGCGTAAAATCACTTTTGTACAAGAATATTCATCATCATGGCATTGTTTATAATAATGGGTAATACTAGGCTGGGCGCGGTGTCTCACGCCTGTAATCCCAGCAGTTTGGGAGGCCAAGGCGGGTGGATCACGAGGTCAGATTGAGACCATCCTGGCTAACACGGTGAAACCCCGTCTCAACTAAAAAAATACAAAAAATTAGCCGGGTGTGGTGGCAGGCGCCTGTAGTCTCAGCTACTCAGGAGGCTGAGGCAGGAGAATGGTGTGAACCCAGGAGGCAGAGCTTGCAGTGAGCCGAGATCACACCACTGCACTCCAGCCTGGGTGACAGAGCAAGACTCTGTCTCAAAAAAATTCAAAATAAATAAATAAATAAAGGGTAATACTGAAAACAACTATAACTATACATAAACTCTATATACCAAAAACTGGTTCAATAAATTGTAGCACATTTTCATAATGAAATACTATGCAATTATCATCTTAAAAATAAGGCAGGACTTAAATTACTTACATATAGCAATAAAGTATAGTGGCTGGGAGCAAAGGCTCCAGAACCAGATTGTCGCTATATGAACCCAGCGCTACTTATTGTCTTGCTTGGGGCAGGTTACATAACCTTTGTCTTCCAATGTTTCTTCATCCATAAAATGGGGATAAAATATTATTTCTCTCATATAGTTATAATAATTAAGTAAAAAACTTTGTTTGTAAATATCCTTCAAAGAGTGCCTGGCACATAGTAAGTGCTCTAAAAATATTAGGTATTATTATTCTCTACAAAATAACATGTTCGGTGAAAAAAAGCAGGACTTCAAAAAATATAGAGAGTATGCTAATATTAAAGCATTGAAAAAAGGAATATATAAATGCACATACTTGTATATGAATATAATATATATGGAAGTATATACAGTCATCCTCCAGTATATGCAAGGAATTGGTTCCAGGACCCCAGAGTAACCAAAATCTGTGCATACTCCAGTCCCTCAGGCAGCGTTGCAGAAAATGCTTACGTGAAAATTCGGCTCTTTATATATGCAGGTTTCAAATCCTATGAATACTGTATTTTCAGTATGCTTTTAGTTGAAAAACTCTGCATATAAGTAAACCCACACAGTTCAAACCTGTGTTGTTCAAGGTTCAATTGTACGAAAAACTAATATCATTGGTTATCTCCAGGGTAATTGGAAGGGAACTGGATACCTGTACAGGAAAGGGAGGAAGCTTCCTTTTCCTCATAGGCCATTTGTTAATTTCTGGATTTTGTTCAATGTTAATTTTTTAAAATCTTTTTCTTTTAAACTTTAAGTTCAGGGATACAAGTGCAGAACATGCAGGTTTGTTACATAGGTATACATGTGCCATGGGTGGTTTGCTGCACCCATCAACCCGTCATCTAGGTTTTAAGCCCCACATGCATTACATATTTGTCCTAATCTCTCCCTTCCCTTGCCTCCCATCCACCACTGACAGTCCCTGGTGTGTGATGTTACCCTCCCTGTGTCCATGTGTCCTCACTGTCCAACTCCCACTTACAAGTGAGAACATGTGGTGTTTGGTTTTCTGTTCTTGTGTTAGTTTGCTGAGAATGATGGCTTCCAGCTTCATCCATGTTCCTGCAAAGGACATGAACTCATCCTTTTTTATGGCTGCATAGTTATCCATGGTGTATATGTGCCACATTTTCTTTATCTAGTCTATCATTGATGGGCATTTGGGTTGGTTCCAAGTCTTTGCTATTGTGAATAGTGCTGCAATAAACATATGTGTGCATGTGTCTTTATAGTAGAATGATTTATAATTCTTTGGGTATATACCCACCCAGTAATGGGATTGCTAGGTCAAATGGTATTTCTGGTTCTAGATCCTTGAGGAATCACCACACTGTCTTCCACAATGGTTGAACTAGTTTACAGTCCCACCAACAGTTTAAAAGCGTTCCTATTTCTCCACATCCTCACCAGCAACTGTTTTTTCCCGACTTTTCAATAATCACCATTCTGATTGTCATGAGATGGTATCTCATTGTGGTTTTATTTTTTTCTTGAGATGGAGTCTCGCTGTCACCCAGGCTGGAGTGCAGTGGCACGATCTCGGCCCACTGCAAGCTCCTCCTACCGGGTTCACGCCATTCTCCTGCATCAGCCTCCTGAGTAGTTGGGACTACAGGCACACACCACCACACCCAGCCAATTTTTTTGTATTTTTAGTAGAGACGGGGTTTCACAGTGTTAGCCAGGATGGTCTTGATCTCCTGACCTCGTGATCTGCCTGTCTCGGCCTCCCAAAGTGCTAGGATTACAGGCATGAGCCACTGCACCTGGCCTCATTGTGGTTTTGATTAATTTATTTTTTAAATATTTACAGTACAGAAGGCTTATAAAATTTGTTTAAAGTTGTATTCTCTCAATATTATTTGTCTACAAAACACTTTTTTTTAAGAAACACCTAAAAATCATCTAGTATTACAAGGAACATCATTTTGGAAACATTGCTGTAGGGCTTAGAGAGTCATTGAGATTTGCAGAAGGGAATGACATTCAGGATCCTTCTTTTTTTTTAATGGTGTTTCTTTTGGATGTGATTGATGACATTTTTAAATGAAATACCCAAGCTTGAAATGCAATTATTTCATAGCATAAGCACACAAGAGAAAACTAGTTTTAGAAGGCACAGAAGGTTTTATTTTCAAGAATAAAACCCAAAACACAAATACAGTTTTTGTCAGCAACAAGATATTTATTCACCTAACTCTGTAACATGTCACAGTCCTAGCAGAACTACATAGCCATATTTTCCTTCGCCAAATCAAACGTTTTCCCAGAGCAGCTCAGCCTAGGAGCACTTAAACTGGATTCCAATTTCCCAGATAGACAGCCCTTTAATGCAGGCTCTCCCAAGATCTCTCACCTCTTCTCTACTCCCCACCCAGAGACTGCCACTCTAGCTTGTACGTTATTGTATGAGAGAGGCAGGTTCTAAACACAGAAAGAATGAGAATTTTGACCAAAAACCCACAGGTAGTAAAATGAGCCAAGGTCATCCACAGGCAATGTGTCTTGAGGAGCCTGTGACCACAATAGCATACTTCTGCAGGAAACATGGAGGTCCTTTGTTTGTTTGAGACAGACTGTCACTCTCTCACCCAGGCTGGAGTGCAAGTGGCGCAATCTCGGCTCACTGCAACCTCTGCCTCATGGGTTCAAGCAATTCTCACGATTAAGCCTCCTGAGTAGCTGGGGTTACAGGCGTGCACACCACCATGCCCAATTGATTCTTGTATTTTTTGGTAGAGACAGGGTTTCACCATGTTGCCCAGGCTGGTCTCAAACTCCTGGCCTCAAGTGATCTGCCAGCCTCGGCCTGCCAAAATGGTGGGATTACAGCTGTGAGGCACTACGCCCAGCCTGTCCTCCCTCTTTAAACACTTATCAGTAACAGCACACATCAGCTTCATGACCTCCAAGAATCTCTCAAGATTAAAACTTTAATCATTCTAGAAATGTAGATGTATGTTAGTAAGAAGGCATTTGTTTTCTATTTAGTTAAAAGTTTTGAACTCTGAAGTATCCTTGCTGGGTATTTCATCATTTACAATGAAAGTGAAAAATAAATTATGTCAGTCCTTATGTCAATGTTTGCTACACTGTTCATACTACAGCAAATGTTAACAGATGTTCAGGTAAATAGGGTATCAATGATCACATTTTGGAAAGACTGGATGAAGCAACAATGGTCCATTTTCATTAATACCAGACTTCTCAAAACCTTAAAAATGCTCATGCTTATTGTGACTCTCTCAGAGAGGAACAGAGCATAAAGTGCTCTCACAACCATTAGTAACTCTCAGACGAGTGTTCAATAGCAAGCAATTTGGGGAATAATTCCCTGGTGAAACAAGGACAGCTTTTAAAATTGAAAACCAAGCATGCATATTAAAGTGCATGCAATCCTGCTTTTCTCAGTAGCCTAGACTGAAGTCATTATTTATTAAGTACATATTAGGCACAAATTACTACAATGAACACCTAATTCCCTTAGAGCCAAGATGTGCACGCCACCTATTCAAGTAAACACCAATCTCCAATTAGGTTAAGAATAATGAATAGTATTAAGAATCAATTAGATAAGAACTGTTTGTAGTGCTCTTAACTTCATCCCAGACACTATGTTGAGCATTACAGATATGCTGGACAAAATAGACATTATCTGTGTCTTAAATAGCTTACAGCCTTATAATGCATATAGATATTAAATGAACAATTTCAATTAATTAAATGATTGCAAGTCTGCAAAGGAAAAGTACAGAATGCAAGGAAAACAAAATGGGGTCCTAACTAAGTTTGGGGGATCAAGGAATGCTTCTCTGAAGAAGAGTCATCTCAAGCTGACACTTAGTTGAAAATTTCCAGGAAAAGATGAGAAAGAACACCCTCAGCAGAAGAAATTGCATTTGGGAAGACATGGCACATTCATCAGGTTGGAATAAGTCCAATATGACTGGAGTATGCAGAAGGAAAGACAAAGTGATGCAAAATGTAAAATGAGGCCAGCCCCCTCTCTCTGGAATTGGCATGTTGCCAGCAGCTATACAGAAGGAAAGACAAAAGAGTGGCATTACCTGTCCTCAAGAAACTCAAGAGGCAATTATAAAAGTCAAGATCTCCTTCACATCCCTTGTAGGTTGTATTTATAGGTATTTTATTCTCTTTGTAGCAATTCTGAATGGGAGTTCACTCATGATTTTGGCTGTTTGTCTGTTATTGGTGTACAGGAATGCTTGTGATTTTTGCACATTGATTTTCTATCCTGAGACTTTGCTGAAGTTGCTTATCATCCTAAGAAGATTTTGGGCTGAGCCGATGGGGTTTTCTAAATACACAATCATGTCATCTGCAAACAGAGATAATTTGACTTCCTCCCTTCTTATGTGAATATGCTTTATTTCTTTCTCTTGCCTGATTGCCCTGGCCAGAACTTCCAATACTATATTGAATAAGAGTGGTTAGAGAGGGCATCCTTGTCTTGTGCTGGTTTTCAAAGGGAGTGCTTCCAGTTTTTGCCCATTCAGTATATTTTCTGTGGGTTTGTCATAAATAGCTCTTATTATTTTGAGATACGTTCCATCATCTGAAGCCTTCTTCTCTCAACTCGTCAAAGTCATTCTCCATCCAGCTTCGTTCCGTTGCTGGTGAGGAACTGCGTTCCTTTGGAGGAGGAGATGCGCTCTGCTTTTTAGGGTTTCCAGTTTTTCTGCTCTGTTTTTTCCCCATCTTTGTGGTTTTATCTACTTTTGGTCTTTGATGATGGTGATGTACAGATGGGTTTTTGGTGTGGATGTCCTTTCTATTTGTTAGTTTTCCTTCTAACAGACAGGACCTTCAGCTGCAGGTCTGTTGGAGTTTGCTAGAGGTCCACTCCAGACCCTGTTTGCCTGGGTATCAGCAGCGGTGGCTGGAGAACAGCGGATTTTCGTGAACCGCGAATGCTGCTCTCTGATTGTTCCTCTGGAAGTTTTGTCTCAGAGGAGTACCCGGCCGTGTGAGGTGTCAGTCTGCCCCTACTGGGGGGTGCCTCCCAGTTAGGCTGCTCGGGGGTCAGGGGTCAGGGACCCACTTGAGGAGGCAGTCTGCCCATTCTCAGATCTCCAGCTGCGTGCTGGGAGAACCACTGCTCTCTTCAAAGCTGTCAGACAGGGACATTTAAGTCTGCATCAATACCCAGCTTATTGAGAGTTTTTAGCATGAAGGGGTGTTGAATTTTGTCGAAGGCCTTTTCTGCATCTATTGAGATAATCATGTGGTTTTTGTCATTGTTTCTGTTTATGTGATGGATTACATTTATTGATTTGCGTACGTTGAACCAGCCTTGCATCCCAGGGATGAAGCCAACTTGATCGAGGTAGATAAGCCTTTGGATGTGCCGCTGGATTTGGTTTGCCAGTATTTTATTGAGGATTTTCGCATCATTGTTGATCAGGGATATTGGCCTGAAATACTCTTTTTTGTTTTTGTGCCTCTGCCAGGTGTTGGTATCAGGATGATGCTGACCTCATAAAATGAGTTAGGCAGGAGTCCCTCTTGTTCTATTGTTTCAAATAGTTTAAGAAGGAATGGTAACAGCTCCTCTTTGTAACTCTGTTAGAATTCGGCTGTGAATCCATCTGGTCCTGGACTTTTTTTGGTTGGTAGGCTATTAATTACTGCCTCAATTTCAGAACTTGTTATTGGTCTATTCAGGGATTCTACTTCTTCCTGGTTTAGACTTGGGAGGGTGTATGTGTCCAGGAATTTATCCATTTCACCTAGATTTTCTAGTGTATTTGCGTAGAGGTGTTTACAGTATTTTCTGATGGTAGTTTGTATTTCTGTGGGATCAGTGGTGATATCCCCTTTATCTTTTTTTATTGCTTCTTCTATCATGTTTATTGATTCTTCTCTCTTTTCTTCTTTATTAGTATGGTGAGCAGTCTATCTATTTTGTTGATCTTTTCAAAAAACCAGCTTTTAATTCATTGATTTTTGAATGGTTTTTCATGTCTCTATCTCCTTCAGTTCTGCTCTGATCTTACTTATTTCTTGTCTTCTGCTAGGTTTTGAATTTGTTTGTTCTTGCTTCTCTAGTTCTTTTAATTGTGATGTTAAGGTGTTTATTTTAGATCTTTCTCGCTTTCTCCTGTGGGCATTTAGTGCTATAAATTTCCCTCTAAACAATGCTTTAGCTGTGTCCCAGAAATTCTGGTACACTGTCTCTTTGTTCTCATTGCTTTCAAAGAACTTACATATTCCTGCCTTAATTTTATTTACTCAGTAGTCATTCAGGAGCAGCTTGTTCAGTTTCCACGTAGCTGTGCATTTTTGAATTAGCTTCTTAATCCTGAGTTCTAATTTGATTGCTCTGTGGTCTGAGAGACGATTGGTTATGATTTCCATTCTTTCACATTTGCTGAGGAGTGTTTTACTTCCAATTATGTGGTCAGTTTTAGAATAAATGCTATGTGGTGCTGAGAAGAATGTATATTCTGTTAATTTGGGATTGGAGAGTTCTGCAGATGTCTATTAGGTCCACTTGTTCCAGAGCTGAGTTCAAGTCCTGAATATCCCTGTTAATATTCTGACTCATTGATTTGTCTAATACTGACAGTGGGGTGTTAAAGACTCCCACTATTATTGTGTGGGTGTCTAAGTCTCTTTGTAGGTCTCTAAGAACTTGCTTTATGAATCTGGGTGCTCCTGTATTGGGTGCATATATATTTAGGATAGTTAGCTCTTCTTGTTGCATTGATCCTTTACCATTGTGTAATGCCCTTCTTTGTCTCTTTTGATCTTTGTTGGTTTAAAGTCTGTTTTATCAGAGACTAGGGTTGCAACTCCTGCATTTTTTTGCTTTCCATTTGCTTGGTAAATATTCCTCCACCAATTATTTTGAGCCTATGTGTGTCTTTGCACATGAGATGGGTCTCTTGAATACAGAACACCGATGGGTCTTGACTCTTTATCCAATTTGCCAGTCTGTGTATTTTAATGAGGGCATTTAGCCCATTTACATTTAAGGTTAATATTGTTATGTGTGAATTTGATCCTGTCCTTATGATGCTAGCTGGTTATTTTGCCTGTTAGTTGATGCAGTTTCTTCATAGTGTCGATGGTCTTTACAATTTGGTATGTTTTTGCAGTTGCTGCTACCAGTTGTTCCTTTACATGTTTAGTGCTCCCTTCAGGAGCTCTTATAAGGCAGGCCCGCTGGTGACAAAATCTCTCAGCATTTACTTGTCTGTAAAGGTTATGAAGTTAGTTTGGCTGGTTATGAAGTTCTCCTTTGCTTATGAAGTTAGTTTGGCTGGTTATGAAATTCTGGGTTGAAAATTATTCCCTTTAAGAATGTTGAATTTGGGCCCCCACTTTCTTGGCTTGTGAGGTTTCTGCAGAGAGATCCACTGTTAGTCTGATGGGGTTCCTTTTTAGGTAACCTGACCTTTCTCTCTGGCTGCCCTTAACATTTTTTCCTTCTTTTCAACCTTGGTGAATCTGACAATTGTGTTTCTTGGGGTTGCTCTTCTCGAGGAATATCTTTTTGGTGTTCTCTGTATTTCCTGAATTTGAATTTTGGACTGTCTTGCTAGGTTGGGATATTCTCATGGATAATATCTTTAAGAGTATTTTCGAACTTAGTTCCATTTTTCCCATCACATTCAGGAACACCAATCAAATGCAGGTTTGGTCTTTTCACATGGTCCCATATTTCTTGGAGGCTTTGTTCATTTCTTTTCATTCTTTTTTTTTTCTAATCTTATCTTCATGCTTTATTTCATTAAGTTGATCTTCAATCTCTGATATCCTTTCTTCCACTTGATAGATTTGGCTATTCATCCTTGTGTATGCTTCACGAAGTTCTACAAGGCTACAGTAACCCAAACAGCATGGTCCTGGTACCAAATCAGATATATAGACCAATGAAACGGAACAGAGATCTCAGAAATACCACCACACATCTACAACCATGTGATCTGTGACAAACATGACAAAAACAAGCAATGGGGAAAGGATTCCCTATTTAATAAATGGTGTTGGGAAAACTGACTAGCCATATGCAGAAAACTGAAACTGGACCCCTTCCCTACACCTTATGCAAAAATTAACTCAAGATGGATTAGAGACTTAAACCTAAGACCTAAAACCATAAAAACCTTAGAAGAAAACGTAGGCAACACCATTCAGGACATAGGCATGGGCAAAGACTTCATTACTAAAACATCAAAAGCAATGGCAACAAAAGCCAAAATTGACAAATGGGATCAATTAAACTAAAGAGCTTCTGCACAGCAAAAGAAACTATCACTGGAGTGAACAGGCAACCTACAGAATGGAAGAAAAATCTTGCAATCTATCCATCTGACAAAGGGCTAATATCCAGAATCCACAAAGAATTTAAACAAATTTACAAGAAAAAAACAACCCCATCAAAAATGGGCAAAGGATATGAACAGACCCTTCTCAAAAGAAGACATTTATGTGGCCAACAAACATATGAAAAAAGCTCATCACTGGTCATTAGAGAAATGCAATTGAAAACCACAATGAGATACCATCTCATGCCAGTTAGAATGGGGATCACTACCAAGTCAGGAAACAATAGATGCTGGAGAGGATGTGGAGAAACAGGAATGCTTTTATACTGTTGGTGGGAGTGTCAATTAGTTCAACCATTGTGGAGGACAGTGTGGCGATTCCTCAAGGATCTAGAACCAGAAATACCATTTGACCCAGCGATCACATCACTGGGTATATACCCAAAGGATTATAAATCATTCTACTATAAAGATACATGCACACATGTTTATTGTGGCACTGTTCACAATAGCAAAGACTTGGAACCAACCCAAATGCCCATCAATGATAGACTAGATAAAGAAAATGTGGCACATATATACCATGGAATACTATGCAGCCATAAAAAAGGATGAGTTCATGTCCTTTGCAGGGACATGGATGAAGCTGGAAACCATGATTCTCAGCAAACTAACACAAGAACAGAAAACCAAACACCACGTGTTCTCACTCATAGGTGGGAGCTGGACAATGAGAACACATGGACACAGGGAGGGGAACATCACACACTGGGGCCTGTTCGTGGGGTTGGGGGGCTAGGGGAGGGAGAGCATTAGGAGAAATACCTAATATAAATTTTGGGTTGATGGCACATATATACCTATGTAACAAACCTCCACGTTCTGCACATATATCCCAGAACTTAAAGTACAATAAATAAATAAATAAATAAATAAATAAATAAATAAATAAATAAAAATCTAGATGAAGGCAAAAGGAAAGAACTAACTTTTTACTGAGTACCAAACGAGGATCACGTCTTGTACTGAGTGCTTCAAATACATTAACTCACTTAATTCATACAACAACCCTTTAAAAATAGAATCATTATCCCCTTTTTATAAATTAGGAATTGGAGGATAAAAAAGATTAGCAAGATGACTTTCTGAAGATTATATAGCCAGTCAGTGTCATAGCCAATATTCGACTCCAGCTAAGCCTTTCAAACCCCTGCTCCTAGCAGCTACTTCCTGAGCTAAAGGTGAAGAGAACAGGAACCCAGGTGGGAAGTGGTGGTAAAGGAGAGGAGGGTCAGAACTAAGTAATATTATATAGGGACTGTCCACTGAGCATCCATCTGCAGGAAATGAAAAGCCTGTTCTGGTCTCTATAAACTAAGATCTTTTGAAAGAAGCAAAAGACAAAGAAATAAGAAAAACCTGACTCTGGCAAAGGAAAACAGTCTTTCTAGAAAGGGAACAGTTATTAGCCAGGTGTGGTGGTGGGCACCTGTAGTCCCAGCTACTCAGGAGGCTGAGGCAGGAGAATGGCATGAACCCAGGAGGCAGAGCTTGCAGTGAGCAGAGATCGCACCACTGCACTCCAGCCTGGGCGACAGAGCGAGACTCCATCTCAAAAAATAAATAAATAAATAAATAAATAAATAAATAAATAAATAAATAAACAAATAAATAGAAAGGGAAGAGTTTAAGGCCTCTAGGAGGCAGGCCATTAAAAATTGCTGTCATTGCAGCCATTTTACATGTCATTACATTACAAGTGGTGTACATTATACCCAACAGGTAGTTTTTCTACCTTCACTCCCCTCCCTCCCCCATTCTGAGTCTCCAGTGTCCATTATACCACTCTATATGCTTTTGCATACCCATAGCTTAGGCCGCACTTGTAAGTGAGAACATGTAGTATTTGGTTTTCCATTCCTGAGTTACTTCACTTAGAATGATAGCCTCCAGTTCTATCCAAGTTGCTGTAAAAGACATTTTCCATTTTTTCTACAGGTGATTAGTATTCCATGGTATACACACACACACACACACACACACACACACACACACACACACACACACACACCACATTTTAGATTGATTCCATATATTTGCAACGGTGAATTGTGCTGTAATAAACATACACATGTAGTTATGTTTTTGATATAGTGACTTCTTTTCCTTTGGGTAGATACCCAGTAGTGGAATTTCTGGATCAAATGGTAGATCTACTTTTAGTTCTTTGAGAAATCTCCATACTGTTTTCATAGAGGCTGTACTAATTTACACTCCCACCGGGAGTGTATAAGTGTTCCTTTTTTACCACATCCACTCCAACATCTATTGCTTTTTGACTTTTTAATAATGGCCATTCTGGCCAGGGTAACGTGGTACCTCGTTGTTGTTTTAATTTGCATTTTCCTAATGATCAGTGATGTTGAGCATTGCTTCATATGTTTGTTGGCCATTTTTATATGTTCTTTTGAGAACTATCTATTAAGGTCATTTACCCACTTTTTATGGGGTTATTTTATTCATGCTGATTTGTTTGAGTTCCTCATAGATACTGGATATTAGTCTTTTGTCAGATGCATAGTTTGCCAACATTTTCTCCCATTATGTAGGTCATCTGTTTACTTTGATGACTATTTATTTTGCTGTGCTGAAGTTTTTTAGTTCAATTAGGTCCCATTAATTTGTTCTGTTTTTGTCGCATTTGCTTTAGGGGTCTTAATTTTTTGAATCATTTTATGGATTTGTCCAACAATACAAAATATATGTAAGAGTTGCTGAAATGGGTCAGGTCAGGAGGTACATAGACTTCTTCCATCTCACTAGTAGTTCAACCTGCTCTCTCTCCCCCATTTCCCTCTGTTTACTTTTATTATCTTTTACCCTCCGAAACTAAAAAGGGAATTTCTCATCTCTTCTCAGGCATAATATGTTACACCCTTGCAGCTTCAGACTTCATCTCAGAAAGATTATCATATATTTTTCAAACACATACAGAGCTTTCAATGAATAAGATTTTTTTCTACCTTTGTAATTATTATTATTATTACAGGAATGATAACATCACTATTTATTGAGTACATATCTTATGCCAAGTACTTTATAAATATTGTTCTATTTAATACTCACAAAAGTCCTAGGACAAAGATATTTTATCTCTACATTACCTATTAGAAAATTGTGGGTCCAAAAGGTTAGGTAAATGACTTGCCCAAGGTCACAAAGCTGTGGAGTTTTAAAGCCTCATTGTACTTCAGGATGTACTGGTGGTGCTTTCTACATCAGGATATACTGCTTCTCAGTCTTAGGGAGAGAGTCAAATGGTAAGAGAATAAACAAGGACAAAGGAAGTGCTAAAATTCTACCAAAGGAGCGGGTAGGTTGAATTTCTAGGCAGGACAAGTTTTCTAAAAATCTTTTTTGTTGAATTCTTAGGTCAGCATGATTTATCTCTGCTGTGACAGTTTCCTAAATTGCATGTCACCCAGTCAAAATGTATAGTTTGATGGGTCCACAGAAAAGGGGATGGTGGGGAGAGGAGGAGAAAAGCCATTCAAAGAAGCACAACATTTAATTAAGGAAAACATTAGATCAATTAAGACTAAATGGTGGTATAAAATATTAAGGTAAAACATGTATTAGTTTGACATTTACATTTTTATGAAGTATGAATCACAAAGAAATAATACATGCAGCTAAATTTCAGTTAACTCCCTTTTAAAAGTCTTGTTGCCATGGCAATGCCAAGAATGAGTTTTCACAGGATGTAAGTGATGGATTTTTTTATTTTTTAAAAGCAGTTTAAATAAAAACTACCAACATCATGGCCTCTTTTCATTTCTCTTATATGACCAAGGGCCACTGAAAATAAGAACCACCTAGACAGCTATTCCAAAAATTATACAGAAAGCGAAATACTAAAAGATAAACTGGATTTCCCTGTTGTGTTTATAATTCTTTTTTAGTCTCTGTTATATTTTTAATAGGATCATTCAAAAAACTATGCCTAGGAAAACATTCTAATTGTGAGGGAAATAAAGGAGACTATTGTCTTCTTGGCATTCTCTATAATTCTACCTCTGCTGATTCAATTAGGGAATTTTTCAATAACAGCTACTCTTTTTGAGCTCAGTTAAGATTCCACTATAAACACTATAAAGGCTATCTTTGACACAAGCAGCTAAATAGTTCGCCTTCTGAATTCCAGATCTAAGAAAAGTTGCCCTAGTCTCTAATGAGTAATAGGGGATTGAGGTTTCTAGGCTACAAAAATCCTGTTGTGGCAAAAAAGGCAGAAATCTAACTCCAAAATCAATACCATATTACTCTCTCCACAGGCGAGAGCTGCTGGGTCAGGGGAATCATGAAAAATTCATAGCAGAGGTGGTCAAGTCATCCATAAGATAGAGAAAATGATGCTATATCTAAAGATCCCCTGAGCAATCGAAAGCACTTTATAGATTTCACTGTGGATAAGTGTTCGTGTGTTTCATCTGGGTGCCTTAATGCTGCTGCGATCTTATTTTTGACAGTCAATGAGAATGTTTGATCTATATTTACAGGATCCTATTTACGTTAGTGCTTAGCCTCTTTAAAGTACTCAGAGTGGTCACAGAAATATGGCCTGAAGCTGTTTCAGTCTTGAAGACTCCCCTTAACTGGACCTGTCCTGATTCATTCTTTGTTCCCATACTTTGAGTGTTACATTCTTTACAAATCCATTTATTTCTCATAACAGCCCAGCAAATTAAGCTTTATTGTTATTATTATTCCCATTTTATACATCAGGAAACAAAGATCAGAAAGGTGAGGTGATATATCCAAGATGACACAGGAAGTAAGAATATGAATCAGGATTCCAGCCTAGGTATTTCTGAATCCAAACAACCCCAAAACTTGCTTGTCTCAAAGGGCTTTAATTTCCTTTCTACATCCCTTCATTTAAGATTTGACTACATCTAGTCAATCTACCACATTCATGGCATCACAGGAGGCAAGGGTCTGTGGAGGCCTGGGCTATGGTATCTGGCCCTTCCATTTCATTTTACTGTCTCTTATCTCTGTTTCCCATTAACTACCTATATGTTAAACACAAAATTTCTCAGCTTGACCTCCTCCTATCCATACTTCAAAATTCAGTTCAAATGATATTTTCTTTGTGGTATTCATATAATAAAAGGTTTGTGGTATTCATAAAATAAAAGGTTAAGATTATAAACATTCCCTAATTTGCCAACACTCCCATACCCATAAGAACCACCATGCCTTTGAGAGAGGCTGAAGAATTGCAATGTTCCTGTCATCTGGCTGCCCCAACTTCTCCCAAACAATCTGACACCTAGGATCCAGCTTTATTTGGCTAAACTGCTAGTTTATTTCTCAATGACTGCTATTTAGGTAAATCCAAAACTCTTTAGCCTGAATTCAAGCCTCAGTCTTCCTTTACATTTTTATTTTCTATTTTCTGCTGCTTTCTTAAATGATTCATTTGATCCAGATAGTTAGTTCAGCACAGAGTCCTCAAAATGAGCCCTGCATATTCATCAATATTCCTTTGCATACACCATTCTCTTTATCTGGAGTTTTCTGCCCTTGGCCACCTGAGCATCCTTTACAGTTTTATTGGAGGTTTGCCTCTTCTAGGAGGCATTATCTGGACTTTGTGGCTCTGGTAATCACTTCAGCAAGTTTATCATATTTCTTTCAATCCTTAATTACAGTCTGCCTTTAATACACTCTAATTTTCAGTGTGTCTTTAGTCTATACAGCAAGACTACGGTCTCCTTAAAGTCAAGATCAGCTGGGTCTCACTGATCTCTAAGGTTATAGAAGTTCCAGGCACAGTGTCAGATCTGTTCATATTCAGATCTTATTTAGTTTGACTTCTCCAACCCACATCATATTTCTCCTTTATAGCTCATAGACTCCCTTGGAACTTTGGGAATGTAGCATGATTATGTATTTGTGTCTTGTACAAAACCCAAATTTAATCAGCAATCTCCAGAACAGTGTTTAAGGGAATCAGTAGACAATGTGGTTGAATAATAGGGGAGAAGTGAGACTATCTTCAAATATTTGGGGTAGATTTATTCACTTGTCAAATGTCTTTTATGTGCCAGACTCAGTGTTACTGGGGCAGGTACAAAGATGAGAAAAATAGCCCTGCCTCTTAAGGGGCTCACAGTCTAATGACAAAGCTTCAAAAGAAATATTGATGTAGGTTCTTAAAAGAGCAGTAGGAGTTCACTAGGTAGAGAAAGAAAGGAAGAAAGGGGAAGGAATCAACATGAGTGAAGGTCTGGAGCTTGGGAGGGCATTATCTGTTCTAATGCACTGCTCATATTAAATACAAATATTTTTTAAAAAAATTCTTCTCTCAGTACCTATTTTCCCATCTTATTCTGAATTTTTTGTTTTACTTCTATAAGAGAAATGAATTAGAAAGTCATTGGCACCAGAAATTTTTCATCCATGACAAGCCTTTCAGCATGTAATGCCCTCTGTAATGAGGGCCCAAAGAGCCTAAAGAGTTTGTTAGGTAAATTTCAACCTCCACTGGAGAAAGACTGCCTTATTACCAGTCCCATCCAGGCCTTAGCCTGCTGTGGTACACAAAGGATTAATCCTACAAATTGCCTTAAAATATCCAGTCATTGGCACCACCAAAGAGGAAGGCATTATGAATCATAGAAGGAGCAAAGCAGAAAAAACAAAAGAGATTCTTCATATTTGGCATTTATAAGATCCTGTACCTTTTGACATCTGTTTTGCAATGGCCTGGCCAAACTCCAAATACAGTTATTATCCTATTCCTCAGTAAATGCATCTCCTAGCCTGAAAAAGAACTAAAAAAAAGAGGGTTCTTCTGTGGCTCTTCTAACGATAATAATAGTAAGCATAACAATAGAAACTACGATTTATTGAAAATCTACAGTGTGATATATTCTTTATAGATACTATAATGTATAATTGTATCACAAGAACTATGCATGGTAGGTGTCCTCACTACCATCACCCCTCCCCCACCACAGCCATTTTACAAATGAGAAATCTGAATTTTAAAAACCAAGTTTAATTTGCCCAAAGTCACAAAGTTAGTAAATTGTACACACAGGATTTGAACCCAGACCTGGCTGCCATTGATGCTACTGTCATTTCTGCTACATTACATTGTCTTTCATTAAGTGTTTCTGTATTGCCTAACATCAGAAAAGGTCCGCATTGTAACCACAAGGCGATATATGCAAGGACAACAGCCAAGCACAGGACTGAAGAAGGAACAAAAGTTATTTCCTAGTACTAGAATTCAAGTCCAGATCCATAGGGACATATGCTAGCTTCCTGTGTTTTTCACTTATGATAATTATTGTTTTTATCATTAGGGCCTCTGGAGAAAAGTATTTGATGAGAAGGAATAAAAATCACCAACAAATAATTAAGAGAGATTAGACAAGAAGAAAAATAAGAACCAGTTCATCAAAAAGAAAGCTGAGGAAGAAAAAAAGATAGAGATGGCTTATCAGTCTCTTAAAATAATATGAATTCAGTAAATGTGAATCAAAGGGTAAAAAGGCACTCAAGAAGAAAAACAAGGTCATTATGGTACAACAGAAAAAGAAGGGGATTAAAATCTGACAACCTAAGATTGAGTCATGTTTTCCTAGACTATTTAGCCCTATGATCTTAAGTAATTTTTTTAACTTTTATTTTAGTTTCAGGGGTACATGTACAGGTTGGTTCTACAGATAAATTTCATGTCCCTGGGAGTCGACATACATATTATTTCATTACCCAGGTAATAAGCATAGTACCCAATAGGTAGCTGTTCGATCCCCACCACATACCCTCAAGTAGGCCCTGGTGTCTATTGTTTGCTTTGTGTCCATATGTATTTGATGTTTAGCTCTCTGGGACTTGGTTATTTCATTTGTGAAATGAGAGAAATAATATATTCTTCCTTTGCATAGTTGTAAGAATTAAACATAATGCTAAAGTTTTTTTTATAAATTCTAAAAATATATACACAACTTTCAGTTGTTTTTAGTATTTATCTATGACCCATTGGCCTAAGAAATTCAGAGTAGATTTTAAAAGGCAAGGCATTTAGAGTGAAACAACTAGGAAACAGATTCAAAGTAACATGTAAGCAAATGCAGGCAATAGAAAATAAAAAATAAAAATAAGATAAAGTTAGTAATACTGGGCATATAGTGAAGTGTGCCCAGTACTTCACAACATGCCCAGTAAGCCATTCCTCATGTGAAGGAGGAAAAGAAAAACAGAAATTCTATTTAGTGTCAGGAATTTTCAAAGACATAATCTTATTTAATAACCCTAACAACTTTGCATGGGAGTGTTATTTTCCCTATTTTTACAGAGAAGAAAACTAAAGTTCAAAAATATGAAGAAATTGCCCCCAAGCCACACAGCTAGGGAGTGTTGGAGTTTAACTCAAACGTAGACTTTTCAGACTCCAAAATCCATTTTTCAGAGGAAGTAACTCTTGAGCTGTGTCCTGAAGAAAGAGAAAGATTGGCACAGTGCTGCATGGAAAACAAAGCCACACCAAACTGCTATAATCTGAATATTTGTGTCCCTCTGAAATTCATGTATTGAAATTTAATCCTTGAATGTGATGGTATTAAGAGATGGAGACACTGGAAGGTGATTAGATCATGTGAGCTCTATTCTCATGAAGGGACTAGTGCCCTTATAAAGGAGGCTTGACGGAGCTATTTGGCCCTTCTCCCCTGTGAGGATACAGCAACAACACCTCATCTATGAGGAAGAGGTCCTTACCAGACACTGAACCTACTGGAACCTTGAGCTTGGATTTCACAGCCTCCAGAACTGTGAGCGATAAATATCTCTTAATAAATGACCCAGTCTAAGATATTTTGTTATAGTAGCAGGAATTGACTAAGATACAAACCAAAACCATACCCAAACCTAGTCTAGCATATCACTCGGGGTCTGGCTGGAAATAGATGGCAAATTCAAATAAAATAATAAACAAAAAGAATTTAATAAATGGACTATTTACAAAGGTGTGAACAGAATTGGAAAACCAACCAGGGATAAGGAAGTACTGTAGCTCTAGCAACAGATGAAAGCTGTTATCTTTCTCCAATGGAGGTTGAGGCTCACCTAAGGCTCTATAAGCATGAAGTGCCATGGGGAGAGAGTAGTTACCAAAACCTGGAGAATGTAAATGTCGCTTTAAGAGAAAAGAAATAAAAATCTCAAACTCATTCTTTTCCCACCCTGTTATCTCCTCCTAGTGCCTCTCATTGGCACTCAACTGTAAGCCAGAATATAAGAGAATTTGCTGATTAAGTCCATAAAAGTCAGCGTCATGGGGCACTAAGCAAGGTGGAAAAGAGAGAAGAATGGATCTAGAGGGACAAATGGAAAATATCTAAAACACGGTGAATAGCCCAGTGGATATTTAGGTATCAACCATATTCTTTTTTTTTTTTTTTTTTTTGAGATGGAGTCGCACTCTGTTGCCCAGGCTGGAGTGCAGTGGCGCAATCTCAACTCACTGCAACTCTGCCTCCTGGGTTCAAGCCATTCTCCTGCCTCAGCCTCCCAAGTAGCTGGGACTACAGGCGTCCGCCACCATGCCCAGCTAATTTTTTTTGTATTTTTAGTAGAGACAGGGTTTCACCATGTTATCCAGGATGGTCTCGATCTCCTGACCTCGTGATCCGCCTGCCTCGGCCTCCCAAAGTACTGGGATTACAGGCGTGAGCCACCGCGCCCGGCCAGTATCAACCATATTCTTAGAGGTAGACTCTTGCTATTACCAAACACTAAGACAATGGAATGGCATACTTTATACTGAAGGTCAATGAATCTGAATAAGGAGTAGATGTAAAATCTCAAGTAGGAAGAAAATACATTGTTCAGGTTCTAAAGCCTAGAATTTGACCTTGTTATTGTCCTAATTTCTCAGGAAATATTTTTAAAAATACAATACACTAGACCATCTTAAAGTGTTGAATATCATGATCATTTTAGCAATTACTTTCCAATATATTTTATACATAATTTTTCCTTACTACTGCATGGAGAAAGATGCCAGAAAAAAATATGTGTCTGAGAAAGTTAAAAGCCTTATATAGTTAAAGTGCTATGCAAAATGAGATTTTATAGGTTAACAAACTTACTTCAATCATCCCAACTCCTTTGGAAATCTTCCAAATCTATGATAAATGTGCCTTTTTATTTTTTCTATGTGTGTATTGCAGATGGTGACCTAATCCTTTAATTTAACACTTGGTGGATGCTTGTTTGAAAGCCCCTATGCAGAGTAATAGTGAGGCAAAAATATTTAAAACACAGTCATTGCAGGAAGCTCACAGTCAAGCAAAGCTGCTGTTATTCTTGTTGTTTTATCTCGTTTATATAAGTAATTAATTGGATTTTAAAAGCCAGAAATTTATTTTTATTACTATTTTCACAATATTTACAATTTAAAGAAAATAGTATCACACAGTAGGCGTCAACTTTTGTTATGAATGAAAAATGAAAAAAATGAATATTAAATCTGACAAAGATTTTAATATTCAGGATAGATTCTAATATCCAGAAACGATATGGAACTTAAGCAAATCAAACAAGCAAACACTAATAATCCAATTAAAAAGTGGGCAAAGGACATGAACAGATACTTTTCGAAAGAATACATACAAGTGGCCCACAAACATGAAAAAATGCTCAACATCACTAAACATTAGAGAAATGCAAATCAAAACCACAATAAGATACCATCTCACACCTGTCAGAATGGCTATGTATTAAAAAGTCATAAAATAACAGATGCTGCCAAGGTTGTGGAGAAAAGGGAAAACATACACTGCTGGTGGGAATGTAAATTAAATTAGTTCAACCACTTTGGAAAGCAGTTTGAAGGTTTCTCAAAGGACCTAAAATACAACTGCCATTTGACCTAGCAATCCCATTGCTGGGTATAGACCCAAAGGAAAATGAATCCTTCTACCAAAAATACACATGCACCTTTATGGGCATTTGCAACACTATTCACAATAGCAAAAACATGGAATCAACTTAGATGCCCATCAGTGGTGGACTGGATAAAGAAAATGTACATATACATCATGGAATACTACACAATCATAAAAAAGAATGAAATCATGTATTCTGCAGCAACATGGATGCAGCTGGAGGTCATTTTCCTAAGTGAATTAACTCAGTAACAAAAAACCAAATACTGCATGCTGTCACTTATAAGTGTGAGGTAAACACTAGGTACACATGGACACAAAGATGGGAACAACAGACACTGGAGACTACTAGATGGGGGAGGAAAAGAGTGGGGTAAGGGCTGAAAACTACCTATTGGGTACCACACTCAGTACCAGGTGACAGGATCATTCATACCCCAAACCTCAGCATCACACAATATACCAATGTACCAAACCTGCACATGTATCACCTAAACCAGGGTTTCTCAACCTCCAGGCCATGGACCGGTACCAGGCCATTCCCTGTTAGGAACCAGGCCACACAGCAGGAGGTGAGCGGCAGGCAAGCGAGTGAAGCTTCATCTGTATTTACAGCTACTCACTATCACTCACATTACTGCCTGAGCTTTGCCTCCTGTCAGATCAGTGGCAGCATTAGATTCTCATAGGAGTACAAACCCTATTGTGAGCTGCATGTGCAGGGGATCTAGGTTATGAGAATCTAATGCCTTATGAGAATCTACTGCCTGATGATCTGTCACTGTCTCCCATCACCCCCAGATGGGACCATATAGTTGCAAGAAAACAAGTACAGGGCTTCCACTGATTCAATATTATGGTGAGCTGCATAATTATTTCATTATGTATTACAACATAATAATAATAAAGTGTGCAATAAATGTAATGTGCTTGAATCATCCCAAAACCATCCCCCCATCCCAGTCCATAGAAAAACTGTCTTTCACAAAACTGGTCCCTGGTGCCAAAAAGCTTGGGGATTGCTGTCCTAAACCTAAAAGTTGAAATTTAAAAAAAGAATATTAGAATCACAGCATGTGAGAAATGGAAAATATGTTCTTTAATACTTGCTCCCTTTGTTCATGCTCTTTTTTTCTGTTTAGAACACACTTGTTTGCTATGATCTTGACAAACACATTTGGTAAAACTTGTATTAAAATACATCATATATGCATAAAATTGCACGAATTACAGATACATATCTTGATTTTTTAAAGAAACCCAGCACACCTGTATATGTACCCCTCATTTCAAGAAACAGAATATAAACAGCACTGCAGAGGCCTCTTTTTGGGCACTACCTTCCTGCCAAGGATAACCACTATCCTGAATTTTAATACTATAGACTAGTTTTGTTGTTTCTAACTTTATATGAATGGAATCATATGGTATATACTCTTTTTTTCTGGCCCCCTTCTCTCAATATTGTTTTTGTGAGATTCTTCCATGTTGTTACATGTAGTTACTTACAGTTCACTCATTCTCAATGCTGTATGGTATTCCATGGTATGAGGTAACACAATGTGTCAATTATATGATTTATAGCCATTTGAATAATTTCCAAAATTTGACTATGAAAAAAGTACCAGTAAAAATATTTTACATATCTTTGGAGAATATTTGTATACATTACCGGGACTGAAAAACTGGCATTATATACAAGAGCAAAAGGCATATGTATGTTCCCTCTAGTAGTACTTTTATAGTATTTTTCCAAAAGCAGTTGTACCAATTTATACTCCCACCCACAGTGTATAAAAAGAATTCCAGTCCAACTCATTTTTCAAAATTCAGTTTAAGATTGGTTATGTCCTTTTGGAAGCATTTCCTGATCACTCTAGTTCATTAGTTACCATTCACTTGTGCTACTACACTATACTCCCATCTTTGCATACCTCTTTTATGTAACTGTTTTATATTACATTTTTTTCTGTATCAACCTTAAGGTGTACAAGTGCCTCAAGGGCAGAAAGTATATTTTATTCATATTAGCACTCCTAGTAAGGTCTGGCACAAAACAGACACTGAGAAAACATTTGTATAATAAATGAGTGATTTACACCATTTAATCACACTCCCTTGTTTTTTATATAAGAAAATTGAGATATAGAACAATTTAGTACCTTGAGAGAAGCCACCCAACACATCAGTAACACAGTAGCACTTCTGGGGTTAACAGTCCAAATCTTATACATCCTAATCTATAGCTCTTTTCACTGCATTATGATGCTTCCCATAAAAATCTTACTCTGACAATAAACCTACATAGAAGTTTGGCTGTATTTCTGTCTTCCAAAGGAGAGGGCAAAGGAGGCAGTATAAATCTCCTGACAGACTGATGACAAGGTCATGGAACTTGTCTATATGCTAGAACAGAAAACTCAGCTAGAAAAGAGAATATACTTCAGGACAAACAATTATGGAAGGGACAAAATGGTTTAAAAGAGCACTGGGAAATACATCTTAAATTCACAGATCCAAATTTTCCAAAAGGTTGGAGAGATGATCTCAATTTATAAATCACATAAAATGTTCTGAATTATTGGATGGTAAGGTATCTGATTTTAAAGGATTATATAGAAATATGAAGAGATGAGACAGCTGCCAGATATGCCGACAGTTTGTAGTTAATTCCTGATGTTAGAGAACTCTGCCAAATAATCTTCTCATACAGAGATTTATGTTGAATTTCATAAAGCACCAAAGCAAATATACTGAGAAAAAAAATGGATAAAAGAGTCATAGCCGAATGAACACAGTATCAACACAATTCAAAAGGAAAGGGCACTTGGAGCATTTGGGTTCTCTCTGGGTCAATCAGAATCCTTTTGTAGATTATTTAAATTATTTAGATCCAAGTCATTTAAATCAATAAATCCTCTTAATACTACCTATGTGCAAAGCACTATGGAGGATACAAGGAAATATGGCACTTTTAATGACACTTTTCCTGATCTCAAATCTTCAATGGATCTCCCTTAGCTAGAAAAGAAAAGCTCCCACTATTTAGCTGGGCACACAATGTATTCACTGTAGCCTATTCCTCATCTTACCACTCACATAGTCTATTTTCTCTCCAAAATTAAACTGTTATTTCTTTACATACCCTTTTATATCCTATTTCACTGCCTTTGATCATGCTCTTTCTCGAGGAGAAAAGGTGGTGGGAAGGAGGAATATATGTAAAGTAGTACCACCATGTGCCAGGCATTGTGTCATATACTTCATATTCTTTATATCATTTAATCTTCACATCAATTCTCTTAGACGTAATCAAGTCACAAGCTTTAGCTCACCATTCTACTGAAACTGCTTGTGTCAAGATCCCCAACATCCTCCACATTTCTAAACCTATAATCAATCCACATCCCTCAATTTACTTGACCTAAAAGCAGGCTTTGGCACAGTAGATCACTCTGTTCTCCTTGAAACATTTTCTTCATTTGGTTTTACTATATTATACTGTTCTGGTTTTCCTCTGGCTTTACTGGCTGCTCTTTCTCAAAAATCTTTTGTAGGATTCTTTGATCTCTAAATATATTCTCCTCAGGGCTCAGTCCTTGCACATTTTATCTTCTGAAAATACACTCACTTTTCTGGTAAGCTCCTCAACCAGTCACATGGCTTTGAATACCATAGGTGTACATTGATGGCTTCCAATTTATAACTCAGCTCAAATGTTTCCTTGAACTCCAGACTCACTTATCCAACTGCCTATTCAATATCTTTACTTAGATGTCTAATAAGTATCCCAAACTAGACATATCCAAAACCTAGGCTCCTTATCTTTCCTCTCAAACTTGCTTCTTATGAGTCTTTCCTATTTCATTAGCAGCAATTTCATGACACCAGAGGTTCAGATAAAAAACTTTGATGCCATCCTTGACTCATTTCATTATCTCACACCCAAATCCAATCAACGAATCTATTGGTTATACTGCCAAATATTCCCAGAATCTCTACTCATCACCTCCACTGGTACTATCCGGTTCAAACCACCATAATCTCTTGTCAGGATTATTTCAATTGCTTCCTAACTGGCTACTCTGTTTCTATTTATTCTTCTATTGTACATTTTCTACATAGAGGGCAATTCATGTAAATCAGATGGTGCCACTCCAGGATTCACAACTCTCCAATATTTTTTCCATTTCAGCCATTGTAAGCGCTTACATTGGCCCAGAAGTCCCAACATGATCTTGACTCTATTACCTCTTTAGCCTCATCTTCCATTAATATTTCCCTCACTCACTCTGTTTCAGCTATACTGCCCTCCTTGCTTTCCTAAAATACGTATGTCAGTCATGCTATCACTCAAGACTTTTGCCCCTGTGTCTTCTGCTTCATATGCTCTGCCCTCAGATAGCCCTGCAGGTGGTTCATCTTCAGATATTTGCACAAGTTCCACCTTCTCAGTGAGATATTCCCTGTATACACTATTTAAAAAGTGTAATCTCCATCCCTATACCCTCTAGTCCTCTTACTGGACTATTATTCTCCATAGCACTTTTTACCATCTTACATGTTTTACTTAATTATTAATATTTGTATACTGTCTTCTTTCCCCACTAGAATGTAAACTCCATGAGACAAAATACAGGCTTGTGTGATTCTAAAGTTTATGTTCTTACAACAACAAAAATTGCCTAAAATGTTCTGTTATCCTACTTCCATATCTACATGTATAACCTGTACCTTGACTTTAAAGTCCAGGCCAATAGTGCCCTTATCATAGTACCTATCACATGATGTGCACTCAGAAAATATTTGATAAATGAGTCATATTTAGTCTTTGTCTTCATTCACTTTATAATGTAGCTACAGGTACAGATAAAAACAACAGGAGATAAGAAAGAAAGATGTTATCGGTATACAATTTTTGCTAAATAATAGACAGTCCAGTTTGACAGACCAAGGTTTCGGTTTTGTTTTGTTTTGTTTTGTTTTTCATATTACACTTTAAGCTCTGGAATACATGTGCAGAACATGCAGGTTTGTTACATAGGTATACATGTGCCATGGCAGTTTGCTGAACCCATCAACCCGTCTTCTACATTCAGAATTTCTCCTAATGCTATCCCTCCCCCAGCCTCCCAACACCCGACACGCCCTGGTGTGTGATGTTCCCCTCCCTGTGTCCATGTGTTCTCGTTGTTCAACTCCCACTTATGAGTGAGAACATGTGGTGTTTGGTTTTCTGTTCTTCTGTTAGTTTGCTGAGAATTATGGTTTCCAGCTTCATCCATATCCCTGCAAAGAACATGAACTCATCCTTTTTTATGGCTGGATAGTATTCCACGGTATACCTGTGCCACATTTTCTTTCTCCAGTCTATCATTAATGGGCATTTGAGTTGGTTCCAAGTCTTTGCTACTGCAAACAGTGCTGCAATAAACATGTGTGGATGTGCCTTTACAGGAGAATGATGTATAATCCTTTGGGTATATGCTCAGTAATGGGATAAATTCCTGGACACAAACACCCTCCCAAGACTAAACCAGGAAGAAGTCGAATCCCTAAATAGACCAATAACAAATTCTGAAATTGAGGCAGTAATTAATAGCCTACTAACCAAAAAAGCCCAGGACCAGACAGATTCACAGGCAAATTCTACCAGAGGTACAAAGAGGAGGTGGTACCATTCCTTCTAAAACTATTCCAAACAATAGAAAAAGAGGGATTCCTCCCTAATTCATTTTATGAGGCCAGCATCATCCTGATACCAAAAGCTGGCAGAGACACAACAACAAAAAAAGAGTATTTCAGGCCAATATACCTGATGAACATCAATGCAAAAATCCTCAATAAAATACTGGCAAATCAAATCCAGCAACACATCAAAAAGTTTATCCACCATGATCAAGTTGGCTTCATCCCTGGGATGCAAGGCTGGTTCAACGTATGCAAATCAATAAACGTAATACATCACATAAACAGAAGCAATGACAAAAATACATGATTATCTCAATAGATGCAAAAATACCTTCGATAAAATTCAACACCGCTTCATGCTAAAAATTCTCAATAAACTAGGTATTGATGGAACATATCTCAAAATAATAAGAGCTATTTATGAAAAACCCACAGCCAATATCATACTGAATGGGCAAAACCTGGAAGCATTCCCTTCGAAAACTGGCAAAAGACAAGGAAGCCCTCTCTCACCACTCCTATTCAACATAGAACTGGAAGTTCTGGTCAGGGCAATCAGGCAAGAGAAAGAAATAAAGGGTATTCAAATAAGAAGAGAGGAAGTCAAATTGTCTCTGTTTGCAGATGACATGATAATATATTTAGAAAACTCCATCGTCTCAGCCAAAAATCTTCTTAAGCTGATAAGCAACTTCAGCAAAGTCTCAGGATACAAAACCAATGTGCAAAAACCACAAGCATTCCTATACACCAATAATAGGCAAACAGAGAGCCAAATCATCAGTGAACTCCCATTCACAATTGCTACAAAGAGAATAAAATACCTAGGAATCCAACTTACAAGGGATGTGAAGGACCTCTTCAAGGAGAACTACAAACCACTGCTCAAGGAAATAAGAGAGGACACAATCAAATGGAAAAACATTCCATTCTCATTGATAGGAAGAATCAATATCGTGAAAATGGCCATAGTGCCCAAAGTAATTTATAGATTCAATGCTATCTCCATCAAGCTACCATTGACTTTCTTCACAGAATTAGAGAATACTACTTTAAATTACATATGGAACCAAAAAAGAGTCTGTATAGCGAAGACAATCCTAAGCTAAAAAAAACAAAGCTGGAGGCATCACACTACCTGACTTCAAACTATATTAAAAGACTACAGTAACCCAAACAGCATGGTACTGGTACCAAAACAGATGTATAGATCAATGGAACAGAACAGAGGCCTCAGAAATAACACCACACATCTACAACCATCTGATCTGCGACAAACCTGACAAAAACAAGCAATGGGGAAAGGATTCCCTATTTAATAAATGGTTTTGGGAAAACTGACTAGCCACATGCAGAAAACTGAAACTGGACCCCTTCCCTACATCTTATACAAAAATTAATTCAAGATGGGTTAGAGACTTAAACCTAAGACCTAAAACCATAAAAACCCTAGAAGAACACCTAGGCAATACCATTCAGGACATAAGCATGGGCAAAGACTTCATTACTAAAACACCAAAAGCAATGGCAACAAAAGCCAAAATAGAAAAATGGGATCTAATTAAACTAAAGAGCTTCTACACAGCAAAAGAAACTATTACTAGAGTGAACAGGCAACCTGCAGAATGGGAGAAAAATCTTGCAATCTATCCATCTGACAAAGGGCTAATATCCAGAATCTACAAAGAACTTAAATTTACAAGAAAAAAACAAACCACCCCATCAAAAATGGGCAAAGGATATGAACAGACATTTCTCAAAAGAAGACATTCATGTGGCCAACAAACATATGAAAAAAAAGCTCATCATCACTGGTCATTACAGAAATACATATCAAAAGCACAATGAGATACCATCTCATGCCATTTAGAATGGTGATCATTAAAAAGTCAGGAAATAACAGATGCTAGAGGGGATGTGGAGAAACAGGAATGCTTTTACACTGTTGCTGGGAGTGTCAATTAGTTCAACCACTGCGGAAGACAATATGGTGATTCTTCAAGGACCTAGAACCAAAAATACCATTTGACCAAGGTTTTGAATTATATTATGTATATAACCTTGGAAAAGGAAAAGTTTGCTCAGGTTCACTTTTCACACCTATATATGAGGAAAATCGTAACTACCTATCACACAGTGCAAGGATTAAACAAAATAATAAATATAAATCACCCAGTCAAGTGCCTGGTGAATAACAGGTCAATATTAGGTCCCTTCTCCCTAAAATTTAATAGTAGAAAGTACACATGCTAAGGATAATTTAAATATTTTTACTTTTATGTAACCAAATCAACCTTTTTTTTTTCAAAATTACTTGATTAAGTTATTTTCTGTATCAGAGTTATAGCATTAAGCCAAAACCTTGTAGGTAATTACAATGTTATCTAGATACATTGTTAATAGTTTGGACAACCCATTATTTTACTGCCTACAAAGCTAGTGCTCTAGCACCAAAATGACATGTTTGCAGTAACATTTATATGAATGTTGTCTATTCCCAAAGCACCCCATGCCACGCCAGAATGACAAAATTTTTTCACTTCTTTTATCTAGGTGTTAGAAATGCTTGTTCCTTTGTGCCGTAAAGAAATAGTACTTGAACATAAATTTAATTTCCTCAACAAGGCCATTTTTACTTTCTGCAGAAAGGGTACACTCACCAGCAGTTTGGCCATGAGAGTACACCCAACAAAGGAGACAGGGTCATTTATAACTTGATGCGTCCACACTACTGCTGTGTCCGGTTTCCATTGGCTGGAACGGGAACTCACATTCTGTATTTGTCCCGATTGGCTATCAAACTAGAACTTTTTAAAAGAGGCAAAGGCAGAGGAGAACAAAGGAAGGAGGAAGTAACTTGTGGAATGCTGAGAAAGGTAAAAACACCTTCAAATAAGGAAGAGGAACAGGCTATGACCTAATGCTTGCTTGGACCACTATAAGCATGCCAGGCCAAATATTTAGGCTAAATTGTGGGAGCTAAGAACATAAAGTACATTGATTTCTTTATTACAGCTAGCAGATAATTAAGAATATTAGCACAGGTCTTTGAATAAATTTTGCTTCTAAGAGAAGTTACTATTTATTCCTAATTAGATGGGGAGGAAAGTCTTTGAAGAGGAACCTCTACTTTACTTTTTACATAGGCAGTTGCCCCCAGGTTTCTAGGGGCACCACATTTGCCTTTCCTACATGTCAGGGCACATTAACCACTCCAAGGTATGATACAATCTGTGTGTGGATTTCACAGTTTCAGTTTGACTGCACAGAATTCCTTCTCCTGTCTCTGTTAGTAATTGACTGCCAAGAGGACAGAGATTTGGAAACTAATAAAAGGCACATTACTGTTCTCTTCAGTCCTTTATACTCTTTCTCCATCTGTCACATTCTCATCAAACTATCTGTATCCTGAATGGAAAAGACTCAAGAAATGCCACTAATGAATCTAGAAGTATTGCTAGATCCAAGTCCCATTGAACCTCTAGGATGTGAAGGATTTATTTTACTTACTATGTGGCTTGCTGAAGCAATGTCAAGTTTGATTCTGTAAGTCATATTGTTATTCTGGTAGTCTTTCCTCTGGTAGCTATGTGATTTTTAAGCATTCTTAACCTACCACTCCACAGTGTAGCCAGACTTAAGTGTGCATAATCAAAAAAACATAGGTTTCAGCATCAAAAAGACCTTGGCTATGGAGTTATTAGGTGTAAGAATTTTGATAGTTACTTCATCTTTTTATGCCTCAGTTTTCTAGTTTGAAAAATGGGAATAATAATGTTGGCCGGGCGCGGTGGCTCACGCCTGTAATCCCAGCACTTTGGGAGGCCGAGGCGGGCGGATCACGAGGTCAGGAGATCGAGACCATCCCGGCTAAAACGGTGAAACCCCGTCTCTACTAAAAATACAAAAAATTAGCCGGGCGTAGTGGCGGGCGCCTGTAGTCCCAGCTACTTGGGAGGCTGAGGCAGGAGAATGGCGTGAACCCGGGAGGCGGAGCTTGCAGTGAGCCAAGATCCCGCCACTGCACTCCAGCCTGGGCGACAGAGCGAGACTCCGTCTCAAAAAAAAAAAAAAAAAAAAAAAAAAGAAAAATGGGAATAATAATGCCTACCTTGCAGGGTCATTGTAAAGATCAAATTCGAAAATCATTAAAAATTACCTACCAATAATGCCATTCACATATAAAACGCTCAGAAAATGCGAGCCATCATCATCTTTGTTATGATTATCTTCAATTGCCATGATATTTTGTGCTTCATTCCCTTTGCTTATGCTATTCCTTTTGTTTTGAATTCCATTCCTCTTTTCATCTTATGAATTCTTTTTTATGCTCCTGATCCAGTTCAAATGCAACCCCCTTGGTGATATCTTTTCAGATTCCTATTTCTCCCCACTCAATTCCTCTGCAGTATTTCAGGTCAAATACAGATTCGCAGGAAAAAACCACACACACACTCTCTCTCTCAAATTAGATTATATTACTGATTTAATTACTGAAGGATACAGAAACTTAGTTTAAGTGCAGAGACCATACAGGGAAAGAGAAATAGATGCAACATATACTTGTCAGCTCTTCCTTGGCCTGTGGTTTCCTAAGAAGTTATGCAGCTGCTGGTGATCGCTCCACAAAGGTTTGGAATTGCCCGAAGTGAGAAAACATACAAATTATTGCTGCTTTGCTGTCTCTGCCCTTTTTTTATGCATGGTTTTCATTACCATGTTGGAAGAATTTACCTTAAAAATGTAATCATTTCCATTATAAGGAAATTTTTACAAACACTGAGATTCCTTGATTCTAAAACCAAAATCAGCTTCAGAAAGCAGTATTTAGATTCAGATATCTCCAAACAATATCTATATCAAGTCTCTCAGATGCTTCTTCTTTCCTGGCATTTTAACCCTTTAATTTAACTACCCTTTTATCTGTTTGCTCACTGAGTCTAGCAGGTTGATTAAATTTTAAACATTAATAGTACTAATGCCTCAAATTTACAAGGTCCTTTTACCCGGATGGTTCTGCTACTAAATTTGGTCCAAAGACCAAGACTATAAATCCATTTCCCCTGAACATTCCAGTTAAATTCTGTGGTCTCATTACAATCTGACAAACCAAAAATACAGTGTTGTGAAATGAGAATGCAATTGTTTATATGACATAGATTATGTAAGTGTCAATTAGCTGGATTGTGAGCTCCTCAAGGTCAAGGACTAGGACTACCACTTTTAAACACCATATCCCTTGTGCAGGGCCTAAAGTACAGCATAATGGTTAAAAGAAAGAGCTTTGCCATGAGATAGGCTTAATGATAGTCTTGGCTCTGCCGCTGACTAGCTGTGGACTTTTGGGCAAGTTACTCACACGGTTGGGGTCCCATTTTTCTCATCTGTAGAATGAGAATAAAACTTTTACTTCATATAGTTTTGATGAGAGAGAGTGTGTGTGTGTGTGTGTGTGTGTGTGTGTACACATGTGATGTGAGGTGTGCATAGAATTAAAAGCCCTTAGCACAGTAACAACTATACTATAAGCATTCAATAAATGTGAGACATTTTAAATTATTATTATCATCATCATAATTACCATCATCACCATCATTTTTAACACTCAGTAAGTATATGCTGAATATTCCTTCTTTGAAGGAAAACAACACCCCTTTATAAGGTAATTGTGGTTACTGTATTAAATTAAAACCCTTCAAAGCATTTAGCACCATGCCTGGCACATAATAAATGCTTAAATGTGTTAGCTCATATTATTTCTTAATCATAAAATTAGAAGGCTGACAGGGATCTTAAGAAGCAAACTAATGTCTGCTGCAAGAGAGATTTCTAATTGCCTATTGAATGTCTTCTCTTCTTCTTTAGTAACACAGCACTGATTCTGTTGAGGGTAGCTTGTGTACAGCTAAAATATGAAACAACTCTATTTCCCAAATAGTGGTAGCCAATCAAATGTAAGAGGAAGTCACTTGGTAAAATTTCTAGGTAAAATATCTTTAAACGCAGCTGACTCAATTGGAAGGTGTGCCCTTCACCTTTCTTCTTTCCTTTCTCCTTCCTGCTACCTGACATTGGAACAGAATAGCTGGAGCTGCTACATCCACCTTTAAGCTATGAAATGACCCTTGAGGATAGAGCCAAGAGCTATGGATGGTAGATCAGAAAAACAGAAGGAGCCTAAATCTTTGATGACTTCATGAAGGGACACACGTCTAGAAATACACGCATCTAGACCTTTCTCCATGTGAGAAAATAATTCCTTATATTTTTTAAAGCAACTATTGTTTTGGTTTTCTTTAATGTATACATAAGCCCAATCTTAACTAATATACTTGCCTTCAGTCATGACATAGCAGAGATGAGATTTTTTTTCCCTATTAGTTTTTAACCCACATAAAGAAACTCATTATGACTTTGGTGTTGTGATCTGGTCTCCTGTGCTCACATAGGAGGGTCTCATAAATTTTCCTAGGCACAAATATTTTTCCTTTAAGGTTCAGTCCCTTACAGCCAGTTTCAATAACATCTGACACTAAATACAATCTCTTTCCACTTCCCCAGTTGTTCCCTAAACTACTATGGCCTTTACCATCTAAGCCACATCATTTAAGATTTATTTTAAAACACTTTATATTATTCCCCTACTACTCCCTTATGTATATCTTAGCTTAAATTAATCATAATGCCACTTATCAAGGCATATGTGGAAGTTAAATTAGATAATATGGTGACTGGCACAGAGTAAGCACTTATTAAATGTTACCATTTTTTCCTTCTCTGTCACCCCTTCTCTTCCATTTTCTGTTGAGTCCAAAACTTCAGAAAATAAAGTAATCCCCTGAAAGGTATCTCCATGTGTCTGTTCCTCTTTCCTTGACAATTAAGACTAAAGACATAACTCCTCTTAGCAAGTACTGAAAGTAAAGCAGTTGTTAGCAGATGTTCATCTCCTTGTTGGCTTATCAAAGAAGCACACTGCAGGAGGCCTGGGGAGGCTCCCATAGGAACTTGCTGAAATTTTCTGAACATATTCAGGCATTAGATTTCTGTTACTGAACCCCAAGGAGCACAAATCATATCTTCTTCAAAGACTTAGGAAGCCAATAGTTCATTATAAACATGGCTCCAGAGAGCTGAGCTTTCAGAAAAAAGAGAATCTATGTCTTCTTTTCTGTTGCCTGAAGACTACCACATTATTAGTAGAATCTTGGAAGGATGGCCCAATAACACCCTACCACTAAAGTGCCTGCTTGGCAGGGGTAATATACAATTCCATTATCAACAAAGGGGAATTTAAGGGCCATGTAGAGGTATTTATAAGAAACAGTGCCTGAGAATGATCAGCAAGGATATGAATGTCAGGAGAGAATAGGAAGCAGCAAAATCAGGGAATTCAAACATCCTTCTCTACTCAATGTGTTCATCTAGAGGATAACAGAAAACACTATCTAGCTGATAGTGATGTGTTAAAACTACTGGTAGGTTATTGAGAGTGTTAATGTGTGGCATCACTCCTACTTCTAACCTTGTGGTTCCTGGATCCATATATTCTTTCTATGTAGAATGCAGTCCATATAAAGGCCTCTTATGTATTGTACATACCACATCCTAAAGGATGATACCCCATTCTTTCAGTGTTGCCTCCAAACTGACTCTTCAGCTGTGCCTTTAGAAAGCTGTTACAGTGCTCCTGAAGCTAGCTTCTTCTGGCTGGAATGGCATATAATACAATCAGCAGATCCAGTAGTGACAAGACCCCATCCTTACATCTGGATTGCTGTGTAGTGGGTCCCCTCATGAAATGCTTTTTTTCTATTTCATACCTGTAAAGCAGGCATTACATAAGAACCTTAATAGTGGTACTATGGGTAAGAAAGGCAAACTCATATCTAGAATAGATATCTAAAGAATGAATTGCTGACTCTTCCTGGATGAAAAGAGCTCAATGTGCTTTGGTAAGTAGGAGTCTATGCTGTTGAGAAAATATTCAGTGCCTTGTGCCTACTCCATTCATGTGGTCATCATTATAGTTCCAGGGTGTGTTGATTCATCCCTAAGTAGCCAGTTGGTCTACTCTGAGAATAGTGCCATGTTGGTGACTCAGCATTATTCTGTATTTCTCACAGGTTGGCCAATCAGAGGAAGCAGTAGCTAGGTCAGCTTTGGTAAGTGGGAGTCTGTGCTGTTGAGAAAATATATAGTGCCTTGTGGCTACTCCATTCATGTGCTCATCATTATAGTTCCAGGGTGTGTGATAATAAAGCCTGGGGATATCAACTAGCTAAAGAATTTTTGCCTACTGGGTTATTTAGTGCCTCTTCCATGGTAGTTGTTTCCTGGAGGGCACTAACATAGATTTACAAATCTTTTTCTAAGATAGATTTACTAAAACAAACATTACCAGGAGGTACTACAATGCTACATCCTCTGATGAAGCTGTGGTATTATTCAATAGCATCTGCTGTTGCTCATGGACCACAGTCAGAAATTGCCAATGTTGGAAACAGCAACCACTAGGGTTAGGGCTACAAGTCAAAAAGCTATTCTTTGATGGTCTTGCTCATGGCCACTTCTGAAGCCTGTTGATGTCTAGAATATTTGTGAATAAAGATTTCCTCAAAAAGATGGGAAATGCTATTGAATAAGACCATAGTGTCATCAGCAGGTGTGGTATTGTAGTACCTCCTGGTAATAAGTTTGTTCTTATAAATCTATCTTAAAGAAAATATTTTTAAATCTATATTAATGCCCTCCAGGAAGCATCTACCATGGAAGAGGCACTAAATAGTGCAGTAGGCAAAAATGACAAGATGAGACATCAATATGTCTCAGTAAAACATTCTGAGTGTGCCTACTCCCATTTATCCAATCACATGCACCTTTACCCCAGACCTCTTTGTTTCTAATCTTTCCCCTTTCAGGCTCCTGATGAATTGTCCTGGCCATTGGTCACCGCCTGGGAATCTATGTACATTCTTACCTCAGGCTATGTTTTATTTCATACAAAGTAGATATAGCCAGGCATACCACTTATAGTCCCTGGCTGATAGGATGATTTCTTTTCTCTCATTTTTTTGTTAACCACCCTGCATATGGCTATAATGCAGGTACCATATATTTTTTGCTTTCAGCAACATACTGAACTGACCTATCCATAAACCAAGCCCAGGGCTATTGCTCCTCCTTCACCTGGTCATATAGGATAAGATCATAAGGCAATAGGTGAAAGCTAGATTAGGGGAGCTGATGCAACTGTGTTGGATTAAACAGAACTTCAGTTTACCTGCTGAGGCAGTTACTTATGACCTCTGATCCACTTTAACTCAATCCCAGATATACCATTTCCATAAGGCAGTTACTTATGACCTCTGATCCGCTTTAACTCAATCCCAGATATCCAATCGCAGATAAGCTGGTGCTGGGCCTGTCCAATTTTATGACTTTGTAGGTCTAACAAAACCCAGCTCATAATTAAGAGTTCCAGATGCATGGTCACTTGATACCTGTTTGCATAGCGTTCCATCTTTATCAGGGTCCAGTGACATGCCAGGAGCTGTTTCTCAAAAGGCACATAATTCTCTACTGTGAATGGTATATTCTTGGTCTAAAATCTCTGTGGCCTATGTAGTGATTCTCCTTTTGCAGCTCACCGTAAACTCCACATTATATCTTTTCCCAAAACTACACCTCCAATAACATAGAGTCTTCCAAATTACATAGCACAAGGGACAGAGGAACTTTTCACACAACCTGGACCTGCCACAGGTCCCAATAAAAGCTGGAAATCTTATGTATAACCAAGCATATATGCCAGAGCATATATGTATGGAATGGAATGTGTTACCTCCAGAACTGAATGAGGCCTGCCAGATCTTATGCTTTCTTCTTTGTAATAAAAAAGATGCAGCTATTTGTCTTTTACTTTGAAGGGCATGCCTCTGACCACTGCACCTCTAAAGTCTACATGAAGAGGATGGGGTTCCTAAATCTTCAAAAGGTTTATCTCCTACCCTGTGGTGTACTGTGTCTTATAAAGGCCTCCAGGATGAGCAATCGACTCCTTCCTATCCTATCCAATCAGCATGATGTCACTGAAGTAATGGATCAATATCATGTTCTGTTCAATGTATTCCAGATGTCTTTGGACTATATTGTGACAGAAGGCAGGAGACTTAACATAGTCTTGGGTTGAAACCAAAAGTAAATATGCATACTGTTTTCTATCCAATGTAAAAGCAAATTGTTACTGACCCTCTTCTCTCAAATATAAATAGAAAAGAATATGTGTGACAAAGAAATGGCTGCCTGCTATGTTCCCGAGGCCTTCTTAATCTTCTCTAACAATGATACCCTGTTAGACTCAGCAGCTGCATTTGGAAAAATGATTTTATTGAGTTTGTCATAGTTTTTAATTTTATGGATTCATCTGGTTTATTCAAGGGCCAAATTGGAGAATAAAATGGCAATATGGTAGAGACCACCACCCTGCATCCTTTTAAAAAGGGGTCATCAAAATACAACCTGCAAGTCAAATCCAACAAGCTGCCTGATTTTATAAATCAAGCATTATTGGAACACAGCCATTTCCATTCATTTACATATTGTCTATAGGAACTTTCAAAATACAATGGCAGAGTTGAATAGCTGTGACGGAGATAGCATGGCCACAGGCCTAAAATATTTACTATCTGGTCCTTTACAGAAAAAGTTTTGTGACTTCTGCTTTAGAAATTTAGTGGTGTCACTAACCTAAACCATTCCCCCAACATGGCAGGATATGATTTTATTTTTTATTTAAACTGGCTTGGGAAATGGCCCCATTGAAGAGCTCCACTTGGTCTTCCTTCCTCACTATGATAGCTCTTACGCCTTGGGCCAAGGACTTAATGTAAAGGTTACTTCAATAGCCAAGTATATTGATCTCAATTATACACTTGAGGACTGGGTAAATGGCCACTGGGTTGTTCATGGACCCAGCAGACACACTGTGAGCCAGACTCCATTTATTATTGGCCCCCAGAAACCTCCGCTCTAACAGAGGCTCCACGATGATATTTCGGGTCATTGAATATAATCTCAATTTTGATGCTTTGTCAATAGTACTTGAACTGTCTCATTATTCCCTGTTCCTCAGTGTACAGTCATCCAAATACATGGTCATCAGTCCCTTTGGAAGAGGACTAGGGGAATCATTAACAAATGTATCTGCTATAGTATTACGGGGTCCTCCCTCCAAGAAACATGGCCACCTCTTCTATTAATGGTTTTCAGAAAACTGACTCAGGTCCAGGAACTGAGAAAAGATAGTGACTTTTGGGGGGAAATCAACCATTCTCCATTCTTGCCTCTTTCTTATTGTGGATTTAATCAGCACCCTTATTTGCATCCATCTGGTTTGTCGATAGGGACATTGCACTCTATTAGACATCTCCACAAGTCCCTGAAAGTCAAGCCCCCTTTGATGGTCCTCAGACCTTGCCTACAATTAAAATAACTATGGCCTTCTGGCTCCTGGTTGTTAAACACCTCCAGCTGGTCTATATTACTTCAGAGCATCATTATCATAAACAGTATTGAGTCCAGCTCTTTCACTACCTCTCCTATCACCTGTGGTCTGCAAAGGTGATCAATAATTAAACTCTCAGTGATATGGGCACTCCATGGCCATCAGGAATACACAGTGTATGGGACCGTCTTGGTCTACAATCTCTGTGGCCTGTGTAGTGATCATGAATACATTTTATATTTCTGATAGCCTTGGAGTATAGCATGTTCTGTGTGCCCTCTTGTGGCACATAGTCTTCTGGTAAGTCTTCTGGTGTCACTTAATGTGTCCTGTCCAACAGGCCTATTTTCCTCAGCCTTGTTATTCTTCCTTTATCGTGTGTCAGGGTACTCAGGCATTTCACTCAGCATGAGATATCACTTTCTTCAGGCTTTTAAGAGCTACCCTAGCAGTACTTGGTGTGATTGCCTAGGTGTGAAAATCCTGTATCATAAGAAAGTACACCCAAGTAAATTAATTCTTGCATATCCAGTCTTACTTTCTAGCCTGTTTAATCAATCACCCTCGAAACCCAATCTCCTGGCTCCTGGCAGATAGGCTAATTAATTGTTATAGCACCTTTAGTATATAACCTCTGTGCTTCCTTATCAAACATCCAATTCTAGCTAGGTGCCCTTTTGAAGAGCTACTCCAGTAGCTCCTTAGAAGTTTAATGATGGATCACCTTTGCAGGCCACAGATGATGATAGGAGAGGTAGTCAAAGAGTTGGACTCAGTATTATTTGTAGTAGTAGTATTTTAATCGTTAAATAGCTAACCATTTAAACCTAGTTATAACCTGGTAGAGGGACAAGAGGTGAGAGTAGCAATAGTTTTAGCCTGGTGGCTGGACAAGAGTTGAGAGAGTAGCTCCTCAAAGGGGCACCTGTTGCCTTGCAGAGAAACAGCCTCTGCAGTATATTCCAGCACCAAGGTAGTGCCAGTTCTTACAAGAGATGGGTGGACTAACTCCCAAAGCTGTGCATGTTCAGAGGGATCTGCAGAGCCCAAAACTCTAAGGTGTCCATCCAAATGTCCCTGTCCCATATTTAGGATACTGGGTTTTCTCATGAGGTCTCTGATCTTAGTGTAATAGACCTACTTTGTACGGGCATTTAAACATTTCTAAACCTGTGCCTTTCTAACAAGTCCTGAATCTGCTTCTCCTCTGAATCCACTCTTCTACTGCAGGAGAATGGACCTCTTTGTAAACTACCAAAGTGTCTCACTGGATCTCACACTTCTCCCTTAATTGCTTTTTGATTGACCTCAGTTTCTCATTATTCTTCTGAAGGGCATCAACAGAATTTAGCAATAATTAGCTAACTCCACAGTCCTTGTAGACATGTTTTTCTCCTATCTTTAAAATGCCCAAATCATTGTACCTACAAGACAATCCTCTCCACTTGCACATTTTCTCAGTTTCATCATTGATGAAATCCTCATTTGTGTGGCCACCTTGTGCCAGGAAATATTTGTGTCCCACATAAAACCCAGGATGATATCATTACTGTGACTGAACCATTTCCAGAACCCAAAACCCATTCTCACTACCTGTTGGGAGAAATGCCTGTGAAAGACTAAGGGAAAGGAAGCAGGGATGACCTTCAGACCACAAAGCACCATATCTGAAAATGGATGGAGGAAGAAAGAAGAACTGAATGTGAAGAATCTCATACTGCAACATGGTTCTAAGAGAGTTACATCAAATCAATAGGAAGTCCTGTAGCCAAAGTTGGCCATCAGAAAAGTCCTTGCAAGCAGACTCCTAGTACTCCTACTATGCCTAGTCATTGGCTGGAAGCAACCTACAGGATGTATGGCCTCAGGACGAATGTGGTAGTGGATCCAGGGGAGCAGAATTCTGGCTATTAGTCAACTATGCTCCCCACAGTCATGAAAATATATCTGAGTGACACATTTTTATGGCTGCCACATATGTGCAGCACTTAGAACTCTGAGATGTTCTGACATGATTCACAACATCAAGGAACTAAGAGTGTAGTAGAGAAAATGAACCTAAATAGAAAACAAGGGACAAACTTAAATTTAGGGTTGAGAGAGTTTGCTGGGTCATATTAAGATTTAATATTCCAGAGGGAGTCTGGGAATATGGTGACATAAAAACATGGAAACCCTTTTATTCTAATTTCCTTGCTATGTTAACCCAATTATTATGGGAAGGGGGAACCTTTCTCACCACTACCTCTGAAAAATAGAGGGATTTCACATGTATACCTCAGGTTTTGGAATTCTACCAAGATTTTACAAGTGAAAAGGAATGAAAACTAGTTAACAAGACCAGTATTATCCAGAGGAATAATTATATGTCAACAGATTCCCTCTGGTCCATGTGGAAAAATTTTGTCTTAGAAGCTCATCTGTCCTCCTATGAGAAGATTCTGTATTTGGAAGCTCATCTGCCTTTTCACATGGTCTGGGGAAACCCTTAGCTGCCCACAGAATCACTCAGACATCATCTTTAGCTCTCCCTACACAAAGGAGATACTCCTATTTCCTTCATTTTGCTAGTAAAACCATTCAATCAGGCTGCATGCACACAGGCTGTCTGGCTTCTGCCACTGGTCCACATAAACACAGAATTGCCTTTGTCATAGTAAGAAAAAACACTCACCATTACATCCTCTATGGGTGAGCAAACAGGAAGCACTTCCCTTTCTAGGCCACTAATATTTGCTCATCATTGGCCACACTAGAACAGTGTGCCTAGGCGGGCTGATCACGAGATCAAGAGATAGAGACCATCCTGGCCAACATAGTAAAACCCCGTCTCTACTAAAAATATAAAAATTAGCCAGGCATGGTGGCGCGTGCCTGTAGTCCCAGCTACTCGGGAGGCTGAGGCAGGAGAATTGCTTGAACCTGGGAGGCAGAGGTTGCAGTGAGCTGAGATTGCACCACTGCACTCCAGCCTGGTGACAGAGCAAGACTCCATCTCAAAAAATAAATAAGTAAATAAAAATAAAAATAAAAAAATAAAAAATCCAGAAATGAAATACCAAAAACAGATCTACACTAGCCCAGAGAGAAAATACATTAGCCAACACCATTGATAAACCTAGATCAGTGACTCTTAAGGTACAGACCCTGGGCCATCAGCATCAGATACATTTTGGAACTTATTTTATATTCATACATGATTTTTAAATTGATATCCACATCCTTCATTAGCCTGCAAAAGCCAACAAAGCAGGACTTATGTCTATTTAACAATTTAGCACAGACTGACATATTGGAGGGGCTCAAGGAAGATTTGTTAAAATATGAATACTAGAATAACAACAGCAAAACTTTCCAGAAAGACTCAAATTAGATATATAACAAAGATATAATACAGTAAAGAAATAATAAGAGGTAAGTAGAGAAATGATAAACTAATCATTAAATGTGTGTGCCTGTAAGTAATCCCAAGTATTTGGGAAGCTGAGGTTGGAGGATTACTTGAACCCAGAAGTTTGAGGCTGCAGAGAGCTATGATGGCACCACTGTAATCTAGCCTGGGGGACAGAGTGAGACTGTCTCAAAAAATTAAATAAACAAATAAATAAAGCAGATAAAATGTTGCCTTTTAGAAATAGTTATTTCTTCATGATCACACTATAAATTAAAATCAAAGACAAATATTACTTTAAATACATGTATATTTAAATATTTCATAGCATAAGTAAATTAAAAATTATATAGTAGTATATATTACAAAATACATATTATATAATATAGTTACATATAGTTAAATAATTTATGAAATATATTATTGTAATATATAATATATGTAAATATTACATATTTTATATATATTTTAATAAAATTATTAAAATAATTTTTTTTCATAATATTTTAAGTCAATTTATTCAAAATATTATTTCAACATACTATCAATAATTTAAAATTATTTTTGAGATATTTACATTATTTTCTTAAAATCTAGTGTGCATTTTTAAAAATTATACTTTAAGATCCAGGATACATGTGCAGAACCTGCAGGTTTGTTACATAGGTATACAGGCGCCATGGTGGTTTGCTGCACCTATCAAACCATCATCTACATTAGATATTTCTCCTAATGCTATCTCTCCACTAGCCCCCCAACCCTGAGGGGCCCCAGTGTGTGATGTTCCCCTCCCTGTGTCCATGTGTTCTCACTGTTCAACTCCCACTTAAAAGTGAGAACATGCAGTGTTTGCTTTTCTGTTACTGTGTTAGTTTGCTGAGAATGATGGTTTCCAGCTTCATCCATGTCCCTGCAAAGGAAATGAACCCATCCTTTTTTATGGCTGCATAGTATTCCATAGTCTATATATGCCACATCTTCTTTATCCAGTCTATCATGGATGGGCATTTGGGTTGATTCCAAGTCTTTGCTACTGTGAACAGTGTCGCAATAAACATATGTGTGCATGTGTCTTTATGGTAGAATGATTTATAATCCTTTGGGTATATACCCAGTAATGGGATTGCTGGGTCAAATGGTATTTCTGGTTCTAGATCCTTGAGGAATTGCCACACTGTCTTCCACAATGGTTGAACTAATTTACACTCCCAACAACAGTGTAAAAGTGTTCCTATTTCTCCACATCCTCTCTAGCATCTGTTGTTTCCTGACTTTTTAATGATTGCCATTCTAACCGGCATGAGATGGCAAATTTCTATCTCCAAGTGGTTCTAGTAAGATAAATTTCTATATCCATGTGGTTCTAGTAAGTTAAGGCAGTCCAATGTTCCTACTGCGAAAAAATGAGAAGAGGCTACTTAAATTACATAGACAATACTGTTGAGGCATCAGAGAGATGCAAACGTAGAGAGAATTTGATGGTCTAAAATTCCAAAGAGGCAACTTTCTCAGGTGAACTGATGATTGCCAATCTTTTTTCTTCCTTTGAGGGTATCTTATGATTCTGGATTCAGGCTAAAGATCAGGCTTAGCCCAAGAAGAAGGCCCCTGAAAGAAAATCAGCAAAGCTTTGAGCAGTAATCAAAGGCTTGAATGACAAAATGGAAAACTGAAAGGCCTCAAACACAAAGCTCATTTTCCCTACGTGGCATTTGCTGAGTTCTAAAGCTGCATGTCTCTCTTTTAATTCATACTTCATATCATACACAAAAGTTAATTCCAGATAGACTTCAGATATAAATATGAAAGATAAAATGAGAGATCTTTTAGAGAAAAACAAAGGCAAGCATTCTCATGAGCTTAGAGTAAACATATATCTTTTAAACCGGACCTAAAAAGAGCTAACTGTCAAGGTAAAATAACTCATTAATTGTAATATATTAGAATTAAGGAAATATATATGTCAAAAGACACCATTTAAAGAATAAAAAACAAGCCACAATGTAGAATAAAATATTTCCAATTCATGCAAATGACTTGCATCTGGAATACATTAAGAACTCTCCAAATCCGTAAGAAAATGGCAGACTACTTAATTTTTAAAAATCAGCAAAGATTTGAACAGATACTTCAAAGAAAAGGGTATCAAAATGACCAATATACTACATAAAAGCTGCTAAATTGTTTTAAATCATTAGGAAAATGCTACATAAAACCACAGTGAGAAACTTCTTCATACCCATCAGAAATTCTGAAATAAAAATGAGGAAACAAGTCAAGAGTTGGAGGAAGGGAGAGAACTCTCATACTGCTAGAGGAAGTATAAATTGGTACAACTACTTAGAAAAACCATTTGGCTATTTAAGCTAAACAAGTGTATATTCCATGACCCAGCAATTTTGAAGTATGTATGCAACAGATATGCTTAAATATATGTTTACCAAAATATATGTTAATTGCAGCACTATTTACAGCAACTAAAAATTAGATACCTCCAAAATGATAAAATGGAAACTTGTAAGGCCTCAAACATGAAGCTCATTTTCCCCACAGGACATTTGCTGGGTTCTAGGGCTGCACTCTAGGGCTGTATCTCTGTTAATTCAGACCTCTTATCATACACGAAAATTAATTACAGATAGATTATAAATGTAAATATGGAAGGAAAACCAGAGAGTAGAATGGATAAACTGAGTGTTATAACAAAATATAACAGAGTGGCTTAAACAACAAACTCTTATTTCTCACAGTTCTGGGCATTGGTAAGTCCAAGATGAAGGTGCCAGCAGATCTGGCATTTGCTGACTGACCACTTCCTGATTTGCAACTAACCATCTTTTTGCTGTGTTCTTACATGGTATATTGCTGAGAGAAAGAAGTAAGCTCTCTTGTGTCTCTTCTTATACAGGCACTAATCTCATTCATGAAGGCTCCACTTTCATGCCCAAATTACCTCTGAAAGACCCCACCTCCAAATATCCTCACTTTAGGGATTAGGCTTCAACATACGAACTTTGGAGAAACATAAGCATTCAGTCCATAGTAGTGAAATAGTCACACAATGGATATATGGAAATGAGAATGAACAAACATCTACTACATTAAATAATGAATATCAACAATATAATTTTGAGTAAAAGAAACTAGACATAAAAATGTACATATGTATGTATGATTACATTTATATGAATTCAGGAAATAGAAAAATAGGTAATAAAAATCTATGCTGTTACAAATCAGGACAGTGGTTACTGACTTGAAAGGCTCACAAGAATGGTGGGGAGGAGTCTTCAGGATACTAGTGATGTTTTATTTGATTTATTGATCTGCATGATCCAATGAGTAAATCAAACAGATGCAACAGTTAATACTGAGTGTCAACTTGATTGGATTGAAAGATGAAAAATATTGATCCTGGGTGTGTCTGTGAAGGTATTGCCAAAGGAGATTAACATTTGAGTCAGTGGGCTGGGAAAGGCAGACCCACCCGTAATCTGGGTGGGCACCATTTAACCAGCTGCCAGTGCGGCTAGAATATAAAGCAGACAGAAAAATGTGAAAAGACTAGACTGGCCTAGCCTCCCAGCCTACATCTTTCTCCCATGCTGGATGCTTCCTGCCCTTGAACACTGGACTCCAAGTTCTTCAGTTTTGGGACTGGGACTGGCTCTCCTTGCTCCTCAGCTTGCAGACAGCCTATTGTGGGATGTTGTTATTGTGTGAGTTAATACTTAATAAACTCTCCTTTAAATATATATGTCTTATTAGTTCTGTTCCTTTAAAGAACCCTGACTAATACAGCAGATAAACTACATACTTCTTTTATTCTTTTATTTTTATTTTTATTTTTTTTGAGATGGAGTCTTGCTCTGTCACCCAGGCTGGAGTGCAGTGGGATGATCTCGGCTCGCTGCAACCTCCACCTCCCAGGTTCAAGCAATTCTCCTGCCTCAGCCTCCTGAGTAGCTGGGATTACAGGAGCCTGCCACCACGCCCAGCTAATTTTTTTGTATTTTTAGTAGAGACAGGGTTTCACCATGTGGGCCAGGCTGGTTTTGAACTACTGACCTCAGGCGATCTGCATGCCTTGGCCTCCCAAAGTGATAGGATTACAGGCATGAGCCAACACGCCCAGCCAGCTACGTACTTCTGAAATATTCCCTTTTTTATATGTTGAAGTATGTTATATTTAAATTAAAAAATTAAAAAGTAGTAGCAGCTCATTATGAATATTTATCTGTTACACAGACTGAAAAAATCTTTCTAAACCTAATAGCAACAAATTAAAAAATAAAAAAAAATTATCTGTAGACTTGACTACATAAAAGCTTGAGGAACCAATATATAAAAACAACCACAATTTTAGTTTGCCATAGAATGCAAAGAAAAATGGTTAACACCAGTAATACATAATGATATAAATGGGCATAAAACACTTAAGAAAGAAATAATGGCCAATAAGCACATGAAAAAAATATATTTCTAAACTAATAATCAAAGATACTCAAAGTAAAACAATAGGATGAAATTTTCCAAGTATCCAAATTAGCATTTCTTCTAATGATAATAATAAGGCAAGACAGGCACTTTCATGCACTGTTGTTCTTAGTTTAAATTGGTTATTGAACCAAAAATCACTTTAAAAAGCAGAGTATGGACTCAGGATTCCCTGAACGCTATCTATGATCCCAACATCCCAACAGCCCATTTTCTTGTAATCTACTCCTTATTCCTTAGTTACTCTTTTACCTCAGTGATGCTGATACTGAATTTGTCCTTTGTTTAGAAATAAATAAACACTAAAATAATATATATTTCATAATATGTAGGCAAAATTTAGAAGAATATGCTCCAATCTGTTGATAGTGGTTCTGAGACATAAAAGTGTAAGAGAAGCTCACATTCTATATCATATATCTGTAATGAAAAGTTATGCATAATTTTCTATTACTTTTACAAGAAAAATAGTAATATATTTGGTCTAATCTTCATTCATTTCCTAATCCATTCAAGAAGTACGGATATAGTTTCGCTGTGTCCTCACCCAAATCTCTTCTTGAATTGTAGCTCTCATAATCCCCATGTGTCATGGGATGGATCTGGTGAGAGGTAATTGAATCATGGGTTCCAGTTTTCCCATGCTGTTCTCCTGATAGAGAATAAGTCTTACAAGATCTGATGGTTTCATAAAGGGCAGTTCCTTTGCACATGCTTTCTTGCCTGCTGCCATGTAAGACATGCCTTTGCTCCTCCTTTGCTGTATGCTGTGATTGTGAGGCCTTCCCAGCCATGTGGAACCATGAGTCCACTAAACCTCTGTTTTTTGGAAATTACCCAGTCTTAGGTATTTTCTTCATAGCAGTATGAAAATTGACCAATACAAGTACTCGCCAAGAAGATACTACTAACACGCCAATCCCTGTGCAAGGCAGGACAAGGCAGGTGGTTAGGGACCAAAGTGAAGGGCACTTGAGGTCTAGCTAAGACCTGGAGTGTAAGGTCGAGTAAGTTCTATGACTCTTGTTAAGGTTTGTGACCAACACAAAGTGCCCTAATAGACACAGTAAGGATCCCAATACAAACCCAGTCATGCAGGATCATCAGGGGGTAGCAGCAGTGTGCATCTATTCAGCTAGGATTCAGAATGGAAACACATCCCTGTGAAGATACCTCGGCACCTAGAAATCTGCCAGAATAAAATCTGGAAACTAAAAACCTCCAGGCATAACACCAATAACATAGATCTAGTCGCAGTGAAGCAGTCGTGGTAATCCATTCTAACACACACCCTGCTATCAAAATTGGAAGACAATATAAACTTGGAAAGGTAGGACAGTAATTTAGAAAATAATAATGATACTAAACACTTATTATGTGTGTGGCACTATTATACACACTTGATACATATTAAATCCTCATAACAACTTGATAAGGGAAATAGAAAGTGAGCTTCTCTCACACTTTTATGTCTCAGAACCACTATCAACAGTCTGGAGCATATTCTTCTTATCCTATTTACAAATAAGGAACACAGAATTTAAGGTTTTGCCCAAGGCCATATAGTTAATAAGTGGTAGAGCCTGGATCCAAATCAAGGAATCCTTGTTCTTGCTACAAGAAGTCCTATTTGTTCATTTATTCAACAGACATTATTGGGAGTCTTCCAAATCCCAGGCATTTGGATAGGTGTTTTGCATACAAACAAAAATAAGAAAGCCTCTGCATTCACAGTGTAGTAGAATAAGAGAACAGGGGAGCAAATATGTAAAACACATGGTAAATGCTAAAACAGAGGAACTGGCCAAATACTGCTTAGTAATATGAGCAATTTTGCCGGATGAAATCAAGAAAGTTTTTAACAATATAATTTGAATTGGGCTTTAAAAAATAAACAGAATGAAGGCATCCAAAAAGGGTGGGAAAGGGTATTTCAGATAGTAAGTTAAATATGAGCAAAGATATGGAAGTACTTACGTATGAAACACAGTATGAAAAGATGTCAGTTTTCTATGACTGAAGAATGAAGTCCATGAGGGAAACTGGCAGAAGAAGGAAGGAGACAGGAGGCCAATATTTCTCCTGCAACATCAGTGGGGCCATCCTCACTGAAACCACTACCCTGAGGAGCTGTATCTTCCCAAGGTTTCTCAGAAGCACACATAAAAATTTAGTCATTTGTTTCAACCTCCAACAAAATTACATTTTTAGCAAAAGAGCATAAATGAAGCTTTACTCATTAGACAACTTACTTTGAGATAGCTTTGTTAAGATTCAGGTGTTATACTTGTAATAGAACATTGTTGCCAAGGTGATGGGGATTTAAACAATGAAATAAATATAACTGCAATAAACATGTTTTGAGAAGACAGCACCAACTGTAATTTCCCTCTGTAAAAGGAACTCAGGGCCTTTGAAACAGCTAAATCTCTTTAAGGTAAGCAAGTGCTCTCACACCACAGCATAGAGGGTGTGAGATCTTCAGATCTTTTTCCCTCAGAGTGTTGCTTATCTTGAGAGCACTACTTAGTTTAGTATGCAGATCTTGCTGGCTGTACTTCCTGTCCTGCTTACTATAACATCTTTTTTATGTAGCAGAAACTTAAAACAATTGAAATTCTAAAGATGGAAAAGCCGTCTGCGCTAGCAAAGGATAATACAATATCATGTTCTACCATACGGTCTCCTTCCAAGAATTTACTCCAGGGATTTGCCTAGACCCCAAAGGAGATCTCCATAGAAGGCCTTGGAGAGATGCATTTTTATACTGGGAAAGGAAATGAGAACATTTACTTATACTTTATACATGACTTCTTTTTTGAAAGGAAGATGTGTAATCTGGTGCATAATCTTTGTGTATAATCTAGTGCATAACACCAGAACTGCCTTGTATTTGTACAGTGATTTAGATTTTACCAAGCTCTTTTACATGCACTGTTTGTGTGAGAATTAAATTGTATAGCATGACATAAAGCTCTTAGAACAATCCTTGCGATGGGACTCAATAAATCGGTGCTCACTACCTGGGTGATGAAATCATTTGTACATCAAACCCCAGTGACATACAATTTCCCCACATAATAAACCTGCAAATGCACCCCGTGAGCCTAAAAGTTGGAAAAAATGACATTACTTTTACTTATTCCATTTTGTGGTTGTTGTTATTGCTGTTGTTATGCAAATAACTTCCTTCTTTCTCTTAGTAAAAGAAAACAACTTCAAAGCTGGGTAGTAAAGGAGAACCAAAGTGGGACTACAAAGTGAGATATGTTTAGGTCAAAATAACTGATTAATTAAGAGTTAATGTTTTCTCTTTTGTTTTTCACTATTAAAATGTCATTTTCTACAGACCACTGTAATAGCCTTGGATCACCATGTATCAATATAGCTAAATAATTCAGGGGTTTGTACAGTCATTCTCAAGCTTTATCATCACAAAATGAAATAATCTTATCTGTAAATGTGAGGATGCCAAAATTAGAAAGTGAAACCTTATCACATGAGACTGCAACATTTCGTTCCACAATGTTTCCCATAGATGAATTTTAAATGATAAACAAGGCTAGCAAAATTATCTTATCTTGCTTCTTTTATCTTAGAGGCATTTATTATTTAACAGTGGTTATATGGTCAGACGAGTAATGGTTCAACTGGATTTTTGTTCTCCATTTTCTGAAAAACTTTTAAAGAGAGTCTCTTTTTTCCTATTTTATAATTTATTTTCTCTTATCTTGCCACTGCCTAATAAGCACATGACATTTAACTTTTCAGTGATATCAACTATTGCTGTTGCTGATGATGCTATTATTGCTGCTGTACTTATTGTTACCATTTTTGATTACATGCTATGTGCTAGTCTTTTTAAAAGCATTATTTAATTTAACACTAACAAGCACCTTGCACAATGAATATGGTTGTAGCTTGAGAAGTAACTTCTAAGCCACATTGCTATTGTGATGGCATGTTGAACCCAAAACTCTTTATTTCCAAATTTCAGGATTTTACTGTATATTTATATGCTTTCAAGTAAATTATTAAATTTCATGTCATATTTACATGCTTTCAGGTAAATTATTAAGAATTTTACGAATAGAAAACTAGGGAGCAATTAGAGTAATATTTTCCTTGTAATATGGTTCTCAAAGATGGTATTAAGCTTATTAGCAATAATATATAAATACTTCTTAAAGGAAAAAAAGGTTTTAAAATTCAAGAGTGAGGAAGACATCTTCCAGTGAAGATAAAACAATGGGCCTGGATTTTTACCTTCCTGCATGAAACAAATTTTTAAAATATTTATAAAACAATGGTTTTAAAGACATTGGAAGGTAGGCAACAAAGGATGATAATCCTAAGAGATTAGAAACAAATCATTTGAGCCCTATGATTGTCCCACCCTATTGTCTGAAGTTTCCAAGCACAGCACAAGGGAGAAGAAACCCAGGAAGATCCTTGCTGTCTCCTTAAGTTGAGAAGAAGCTGGAAGCTCAAGAGAACCAGGATAGCTAGTTCAAAAGGCACACTACTTGAGGGGAAAGAACTACAGAAAAAGAACTCTGGAGGTCTGGAGGTTTCTCTTGACTTTTCACCTTTACTGATAAACACATGCATGTGTGGAAACTACCCTCAGAAAGAAGCACCAAAAAGGATTAAAAGGAACAAACCTTCGTGCTCACACTAGATGAAAAACCGTTCCTGTCCTCAGCTAAAGCAGAAAAGCTCATAATTCACAGGGTGTTTGACAAACTACTCAGATAAAGTACTCAGAACAGTTTTGCATCAATAAGGGGAAAAGAGCCCAAGATTAAATGCTGCTGATAACATTTAACAGTTTATAAGAAAGATCTGAAAGGATTAACTGTTTGTTTCTGGGAAACTTGACTGCATCTTGGAATGAAGCTCAAAAATACATATATAAATGCAAAAATATTCAGCACTCAATAAAGTGAAATTCACCATGTGTGGCATCTAATAAAAAATTACCATTAAAATACTACCCACAGTGAGGGAAAAAACAACTGAACAAAATTGACTTAGAAATGATGCAGATGATCAAATTAGTAAATATGAATATTAAACCAGTTAACTCTTCCTCATATGCGCAAGAAGCTAAAAAAAGGTTGTACATGGTAATAGACTACATGAAAGATATATTTTAAAAATAGATAAATCAGATGGCTAGAGATAAAAATTACAATGCCTGAGATAAAAAATACACCAAACGGGACTAAAGGCAGATTATACGCTGCATGGGAATAAAGCCATATTAAACACTGCTATTGGAAAGATTAGCGATCTTAAAAAACACCAAAAGAAGTTACTCAGAGTAATAGAGGGGAAAAAAAGACAATAAAAAAGGAACAGAGTATCAATGAACTGTGGGAAAACATCAAGTGGCCTAATATACAGTTAAATAGAGTTCACAAAGGAAATGGAAGAGAGATAGAAGAAACATTTTAAAGAACAATAGCTGAAAATTATACAAATTTGATAAAAATAATAAATTTAAAAGTTTAAGAAGTTCAACAAATTCCAACCACAAAAAAAACAGAAAAAAACACCAAAATATATCATAAATTGCTTAAAAACAATGATTTAAAAATCTTCAGAAGTAACTACAGAAAAAGAGAGGCATTATGCACATGGTAACAAATTTAAGAATGAAAGCAAACTGCTGGTTGAAAACAATGCAAGCTGAAACCAAGTGCAACAGTATCTTTAAAATACTGAAAGAGAACATTTTCAACCTAGAATTCTATATCCAGTAAAAATATGTTACTAAATATCTTTGTAAAAGACTTTACCTAGTATATATGTAATGAAATAATTCAACATCAACAGACCTGGGCAACAAAAAATGTAAAAAGAAGTTATTCAGGAAGAAAGAAAACTGTAACATATAAAAGTCCGAATCTAAACAAAACAATGAAGAGCACTGAAAATGGAAAATTCACTGATAAATATAAAAGACTTTTTCCTTATTGGTTAGATTTCCTTAAAAGATTATCAATTATTTAAACAAAAACTCATAACAAAGCATTGCAGAGCCTATAACACAGAAAGACAGAATATATGACAAAAATAGCACAAAGGATGGAGTGAGAGGGGGAAATGGAAGTATATTCTTGTGAGGTTGTTATAATACACAATAAGTGGCATAATATTACTTGAAGACAGACTGTGATAAATTGAAGATGTATACTATAAATCCTAAAGCAACCACTAAAATAATACAACAAAGAATTACAGCTAGTAACAATGGAGACAAGATGGAATCAACAAAAATGCTCTACTTACCAAAAGTAGGCACAAAAAGAGGCAACATTGAACACAGAATAGACAAATAATTATAAAAAAATGCAAACATTCCAAACACTCTAACTAAAAGGAAGAAGTTGTCAAACTGGGTTCAAAAGTAAGATTCAACTAGGTACTATTTATTAGAATCCCATTTAAAATGCAACTACACAGAAAGGTTAAAGTATAAAGATGGGAAAAGATTTACCATTCTAACACTTACTAAAAGAAAGCAGGAATGTCTATATTAATATCAAAGTCAAATTTTAAAGGAAAGAATATCACAAGGTATAAAGATAATCATTTCATAATGATTAAGAAAACATGACAATGATAACAGAGTTTTGAAAATCCTGAAGTGAAACTGGTAAAAGCTTCTAGGAGAAATAGAAAAATCCACAATTATACTCATATATTTAAACACACATCTCTAAATTATTGATGGAACAACTAGATAGAAAATCAGGAAGGATGCAGAAGACTTGAATAATACTATCTACCAACTTGACTCAATTGACATTTATAGAGCACTTGACTCAAAAACAGTAGGGTTCAAATCCTTTTAAAGGGCACATGAAACATTTACCAAGGTAAACTATATACTACTGGACCATAAAAGAAATTCTCAATATAGGATTTACATCAAGGATTCAAATCAAGAAACATGTTCTTTAATTACAGTGGAATTAAATGAGAAATCCCTAATAGAAAAATATAAGTAAAATGTCTAAATATTTGGAATTTAGGTATTTGTACATATACTCAAATGACCCATAGGGCAAAGAATAATTCATAAATAAAATTAGTATTTTGAACTAAACAGAAATAAAAAATAGAGAATTTACGTTATTAAAAACGTGTAGCACTCAGTACCTATATTAGAAATAAGGCCTCAACTTAATGACCTTAGCTTGCATGGTAAGAGGTAGAAAGAGGAGAACATTACACTCAATGTAAGTAGAAAGATCACAGATGAATAGATGAAATAGAAAACAGCAAAAGTAATATGGAAAATTGATTAAACACAATCCTAATTCTTTGCAAAATTATACACAGAATAATCAGTATAAAAAGAGAATACATAAATTATGAATATTGGGTATGAGAAAGATGACAACACTATAGCCTATAATTATCAAAAAAAATTATTATGACAATTTCATGCCAATAAATTTTAAAATTTTTAGGAAATAAACAGATTTTCTGAACAATACAAACTATGAAACTCACAAAAGAAGAAACAGATAACCTGAATAGTTTTATATTCTTAGAAGACTGAATTCGTCATTAAAAATCCCTCTCACAAAGAAAACTCCAGGCCCACATGCCTTCATTAGTGAAGTCTTTCAAATATTTAAGAAAAAAGTTAGTATCAAATTTATAAAATCTCTTTTTAAAAATGGTCTTACCAAAAGATTCTGAATACAATGTTATCCTAACACCAAAACCAGAGAAAGATATTTGAAAACACACTCATATACCCCAATACCCCTCAGGAACATAGATGCAAAAAAAAAAAAAAAGAATGTTTATCAAATCAAATCCAATAATATATTAAAAGGATATTAAATAATGGCTAAGTATGGAATGCAAAGTTAGTTTAACATTAGAAAAATAGTTAAGCTAATTCACCATTTTAACAAACTAAAAAAGAAAAAAAAACCCATATGATTACCTAAACAAATGCAGAAAAAGCATTTGCCCATATCCAACATCAGTTCCTCATTACAACTCTCCGTAAACTACTAATAGAAGCAAAATTCCTCAGCCATATAAAGGGCATCTTCCAAAGACACATAACTAACATCATATTTTTGACAAAAGACAGAAGGCTTTCCCTCTAATATCAGGATCAAGTCAAGGATATCTGATGTTATTACTTCTATTCAACACTGAACAGTTGGTTCTACTCAGTGAAATAGGCAAAACAAGTAAATAAAAGGCATGGAGATTGAAAGAAAAGAATAAAATAAATTAAAAAGTTAAAGTGCCTCTATTTTCAGCTGACATGAATGTCTATACAGAAAATTCTATGGAATCTATGTGAAAAGCTACAAGTACTAATAAGTGAGCTCAGCAAGATTGCAGGATACAAGATCAATATGCAGAACTCAACTGTATTTCTATGCACAAGCAATTAATAATTGAAAGCTGAAATTTAAAAAATGCCTATTACAATAGCATTAAAATACAAAATAACTTAGAAATAAATCTGACAAAATATGTATAAGACCTATAAATTTAAAACTGCAAAACACCTCTTGGAAAAATTTTAAGTCCTAAATAGAGAAATACATTGTGTTCACCAAAAGGAAGACTCAGTATTATTAAAATGTTATTTTCTGGCTAAACTGATCTGTAGATTCAGTGCAATCCCAATAATATCTCAACAAGGTTTTTTATAGAAATATATGAGCTGATTATAAAATTCATATAAAAATGCACAGAATCCAGAATAGCCAAAACATCTTAGAAAATGTAGGACAAAGAGGACTTACACTAGCTGGTTTCAAGATTTACAGTCCTACAATATTCAAAGCAGTGTGGTATTTGTATCATGACAGACAAAATACATAAATGAAACAGAATAGAAAATCCAGAAATAGGACCACATGTAAATGGCCTTCAACAAAAGTGCAAAGTCAATTCAATGAAAAAGAATAGTCTTTCCTACAGATTGTGCTAAAACAGTATGGTATCCATAGACCAAAAAAAAAAAATCAAAAAATACAAACTTCTTTTGATATTGGCATCATATACAAAAGTTAACTCAAAATAGAACATATACCTAAATGTAAAACCTGAAATTATAAAGACTTTAGAAAACACAGAAAATCTATTCTACCTTGGGCTAGACAAAAATTTCTTAGCTATGGTAACAAAAATCATCATCCATAAAAACAAAATTAATAAATGAGACATCATCAAAATTAAGAATGAAATGACAAACCAAGGCTTCCCATTTCCAGCCTAGCAGGTAAGAAGCTTGGAAATTGCTATTCCATTCTAACAAGTAAAAAGCTAAATAAATTGAAAAAAACTACAACTTTTAGATTCATAAGAGAAATGAGATCATAAGGCAAACTACTGCCCTCAAAGCTGAAGAAACAGAAGACAGAAACAACAGAGAAGCAGCCTACAAGCAAAAACCTCCACAGGAACCAGTGCCAGTGCAGGAAAACCTGAACTCTTAATTGATGAATTGCTGGAGAATTGGTTTGGACAACTCTGGCATTAAAAATTACAGGGGGACTCAGTCATTATGGGGCACCCACAGTTTTGTGAATTTTACATCCAGTAGCTCTACCAGGTCTTCTTGGTGAATACTGGAGAAAGATCCTCCATGATCCAGGCAGGGGGAGGGTGAAATAACCATTTAAAAATACTCCAGATCATTCTCTTCTACTTAACAAGGTCTTCTCTCAGGAGAAACTATGTAATCAGAGCCTAACCTACAGGGATTTGGTCAGAACTTAACTGACTTGAGAGAAGGGGAATACCCACCTCCAGCCCACTCTAGACCTTCTTCCTGACCCACCTACGAGGGAAAGAGAAGCCTATGAGAAGTTCACAATCCAGAGGTATGGACTGACCCAAAAAAAAAAAAAAAAACCTGAGGACTAATTGTAGAACTACAGAAGATGTCCTCTCTTTCCATATCTTACCACCACATTACTAAAGGCCTATTTATAGGATTTCCTTCTGCCCAGTACATCATGTCCAGCTAACTAAAAACATAGTTGAGGAGATAAAGCAAGCATCAAAACCAGACTCAGAAATGGCAGGGATGGTGAAATTATTACACCAGCAATTTATTAAAACTATAATTAATATGTTAAGAATGCTAATGGGTGAAGTAGACAACATGCAGGGACAGATGGGCAATACAGGCAGAGATAAAAACTTTAAGAAAGAACAACAAAGAAATTCTAGGGATTTAAACACTATAACATAAATGAAGAATACTTTTAATGGGCTTAATATAGGCTGGACACAGCTGAGAAAAGAGCTTCTGATCTTCAGAATATCTCAATAGATACCTCAAAAATGGAAAAGCAAAGGAAAAAATGACAGGAAAAAAAAAAACCAAGAACAGAATATCCAAAACCTGTAATACGACTACAAAATGTGCAACATACACATAAAGGGAATACTAGAAAAAAGACAGAATGGAACAGAAGAAATATTTGCAAACATGATGACTAAGAGTTCTCCCAAAGTTAATGTCAGACACAAAACCACAAATCCAGGAGGCTCACAGAACACCAAGCAGGATAAATGCCAGAAAATTAAACATAAGCTTATCATTTTAAAACGAAAGAAAATCAAGGATAAAGAAAAATCCAAAAAGAATACAGAGGAAATAACACCTTATCTAGGGGTAAGTAAAAATAAGAATTACAACCAACTTCTCTCCAGAAACTATGCAAGCAAAAAGACAACGGAGTAAAATATTGAAAGTGTGGAGAAAAAAAACTACAATTCTTTTACTCTACGAAATTATCCTTCAAAAATGGAGGAAAAATACTTTCTCAAATAAAAAAAAAAGGAATCTGTAGCCAGTAGACCTGTCTTGAAAGAAATGTTAAAAGAAATTATTTCAAGAGAAGAAAAATTATATACCTAAGAAATTCAGAACATAAAGAGCATCAGAGAATAAATAAGTGAAGGTAAAATGAAAGCATATTTTTCTCATTCTTCATTGACCTAATTGAAATAATACTAGCAAAAATATATATAACTATGCATGCATATCAAATTACACACACTTATGTATGCTTATGCATATGTGAAATGAATGACAACAATCATACAGTGGACAGGAGGGACAAATACAGCAGATATTAATCCAACTGTATCAATGATTACATTGAGTGCCAAGCACTATAAATGGACCTACTAAAAGATAGAGATGGTAACAACGGATAGTAAAACAAGATCCAACTATATGTCATCTATAATAAACCAACTTTAAATATAAAGATACATATAGATTAAAAGTAAATGGATGGAAAAAGATATATAAAAATTTAATGCCAATTTCTAAAAATAAGAATAGCTATATTAATTTCAGACAGAGCCAACTTTAGAGCAAGGAAAGTTATCAGGAATAAATGGAGTGATATACAATGATTCAGGTCACTTCTTCAAGAAAACATAACAACCCTTAATGTGTATGTATCTAACAAGAGAGCATCAAACTACATGAGACAGAAATTTCTAGAACTGCAAGTAGAAACAGATTGATCCACTATTATGGTTGGAAACTTCAACGCCCCTTTATCAGAAATGGACAGATCCAGCAGGCAGAAAATCAATACGGATATAGTTTTTAGCTCAACAATCAATATAATGGACCATAAATCATTATAATCACCATCAATATAATGGACATCTATAAACTACTTCATCCAACAACAGAAGAATATACATTCTTCTCAAGCTCTAGTAGGAAATTAACCAAGATAGACCTCATTTGGAGCCATAAAACATATCTAAACTAATTTAAAAGAATGGAATTCATATAATGTTTACTCTCTGGCCACAACGGAATGAAACTAAAAATAAGTAACAAAAAGTTACCCAGAAAATCCCCAAATACTTGCAGATTAAACAACACACTTATAAATAACATATAGGTAAAAAATATCAAGAGAATATAAGAAATATTTTGAACTTAATAAAAATGAAAGGACAACTCATCAAAATTTGTGGGATGTATCAAAAGCAGGAGTTGGAAGGAAAATTACAGTATTGAAGGCATATATTGCTAAATAAGAATACTCTGAAATCAATCATCTATGTTTTCCTTTTAGTAAAATATTTGAATCCAAAGTAAGCAGAAGAGTTTCCTTGTTCTTTTTTTCCCCAAGATGGCTGAATAGAGACATCAGATGCCAATTCTCCTGAGAAAGAAATTCAAAGTTACAGGTAAATGGTCATGATCTGAGTGGAAAGCTGAAGGAAGTGAGCCAAGGTCTGTGAGAGCCCATAGGAAAAAAGCTGGGGGCACAGAAAAGGAAGGCAGCAAGAATATGGCAAAGGCTGACCCCTGAGGAACTTGAAGTCCCACAGAAAGGGTAAGTGAGAGTGTTTCTTTGCTCCCCTCACCGCTGTGACAAACTGCTGACGACTAAATTGCTGGGGAATGCCTCTGCCCTTGCAACCCTAGGAAATGCGGTCAGTAGCAACTCAGAAACTTCCTAGGGACAGAGCACTGAGTGGCCAGCTCATGGAGGTGCATTCACACTCCCCTCAGGCCTAAACTGACATAGCAGGTGCCACACTGGTTGTGCACCTGTTGTGGGCCATTGCTCTTCCTGGGGATCCTCAGCCATTGTGTCACCATATCACCAGATCCCCTGCAAATATACCACAGACTCTTCTCTGACTTTGGCAACTACAGGGAACCAGTGGGACCTTGGAAAATTGCAGGATCCCTTCAACATGGGCTGCCCCTAGGAGATGGAGGAGCACAGCTCACCTAAGTGCACCTTGATACAAAGGAAATGTGAACGCAGTCCCTATCTGTGAAGCGGGTGGTACTAGTGGCCAGAAACAGATACGGAGGAGTAAACCCCACTCCCCCTATTCACTATTGTGGATGTAGCAGAGGCTTTCTCTGCTGGGGGCTGACATGAGTGCCCTTGGAAACAGCATTTCCAGCACTATTCATGGTAGCTGCACCCCACTGAAAGGGTACCTGTACCACCTGGGCTTGCAGACAGGGCATGGGCCATCTGCCCTCCGTACACAGAGCAGTAGCGTCCTAGCAACACAGCACAGACAAGCCACAGAATTGTCTGCTCTGGAATGGGGGAAGAGGATCTGCCCTGCAACCACTTTTGTGGTAGCAGCCAGAGAGGTTTATTTCAAGAATCTCAGTTGCACTGTGGCTGGGAGATAAAGCACAAGTCTATTAATTGAAGATCATAAACCTTGCAACAAGGGCATGATAGGGAAAAGGATTGTGTTCCTGCCTGCCCAGGACAAGGAACTGGTGCAGCGCCCCCTACCCCTCTCCCCAAGACCTCAGCACATCCCAACACAAATTTCCCCTGCCAACCCCATCAAAGAGGGTCCTTTCATTAGTTATCAGGCTGTGAAAGAAGGAGCTAGTGCCTACTCTTAAACACCACCTACTGGACTGAAGACTTAACTGCCCCACCATGTAAGAAATCTGCTATCAGAAGGGCATAGAGCTAATGTAAGACAGACGCTTCCTGAGACCTCCGCATTTCCAATCTTGCAGAAGATTGTGTGTTTGGCTCATATGCCAAACACATTACTACAACAAGCAGCATTTGAGAAAGCCACCACACAAAAGCTACCCATAACACCAAGGAACTTATTCAGAGCCTTGGCCCCTGAAAGCATCCAGAAACAAAGCCAAAGAAACATACACAAGATACACTGCAGTCACATTCTCAAGGTACAAATTAAAAAAAAAGAAATCCCACTCAAACAACAGCAAATTCAAAATAAGAAGTGACAGCTTCTTGAGACGAGAAGGAATTAGTGCAAGAACTCTGGCAGTACAAAAAGACAAAGTTTTTGACACCACCAAAGGATTGCACTAGCTCTCTACAATGGATCCTGACCAAAATTAAAATTCTAAAATGATGATTAAGAATTCAAAATATATATTGTAAGAAAGCTCAATGAGTGCCAAGAGAAAGTTAAAAATCAACACAAAGAAACTAGAAAAAAACAATTCAGGATGTGAAAGACAAGATATAATAAAAAAGAATTTCTGGAAATGAAAAATTCACTGAATTAATTCCAAAATATAGTTGAGAGCTTCAGCAATAGGCTAGACCAAGCATAAGGAAGAATTTCAGAGCTTGAAGGCCAGTCTTTCTAATTAGCCCAATCAGTCAAAAACAAAGCAAAAAAAATTTATTTAATGAACAAAGCCTTCAAGAAACATAAGATTATGGAAAATTACCAAACCTAATGATGTACAGGCATTTCAGAGACAGAAGGAAAAAAGAGTAGACAACTTGGCAAACATATTTGAGGAAATAATTCAAGAAAATTTCCATGCTCTTGCTGTAGAGGTAGACATCCAAATACAAGAAATATAGAGAACACCTGAAAGCTATTATACAAGAAGGACATCATCTTGCTTTTCCCACAGATCCTTGCAACCCACAAATAAGGAAGTCCCTCATGACCCCAAGCACATAGCTGTGCAGACTCACAGGGACTGCTCGGGTAGGTGGCTGCTCGAGCAGGCACTGAGACACAGGAGTTTTTGCATTGTCTGGTTCTGGAAACTCCAGTGAGGCACAGCAGGCTGGAGACTGCCTAAGAAGACTGAGTACTGGCAATGGGTAGGGATGGCCACCATCACTAGGGCTCCAGTTGGTTGTTTTCCCCTGCTGCCAGTGCCAGCAAGACTGGGCAATTTGGACAAGGAGCAATTCCCCACAGCGCAGCACAGCAGCTGGGACAGTTCAAGGCCAGACAGCGGGACCCAGATCCACTCCTAACCAGGAAGAACCCCTCTGTGAGAATTTCAGCATCCCCAACCAGGGGTTTATAAACAGAACTCTGATATCCCTGAGAGAAGCTCCTAGGAAGAGGGGCGGCTGCAGTATTGTCAATCAGTGGTCTTAGTCTTTTCTAACTGCTGGCTCTCAGGAGTCAGGGTAGCCCGAGGATTCTGCCCAACTGCAGCACACCCGCTTTGCCAAGGGGAAGCCAGACCCCTTATTTAAGTGGGTCCCTGATCCCACTCCGCCTGACTGGGTGAGACCTCCCAACAGGAGTCTCCAGAAACCTCATGCAGGAGCATTCCAGCCAGCATCAGGTCAGTGACCCTCTGAGACAGAGCTCCTACAGTAAGGAACAGGCTGACATCTTTGCTATTCTGCAGCCTCCACTGGTGATAACTCCAGGGGCAGGAGGGACCCAAGTGAATAGGGTCTGGAGTGGACCCCAAGCAAAACGCAGCAACCCTAAGGAAGAGGGGTCTGATTGCTAAAAGAAAAACAAGTGCAAAGAAACAACAACAACATAAATGAAAAACACCCCACAAAACCACATCCAAGGTCAGCATCTCAAAGATCAAAAGTAGATAAACCCATGAAGATGAGAAAGAATCAACATAAAAATGCTGAAAACTCAAAAAGCCAGAGTGCCTCTTCTCCTCCAAATGATCACAACACGTCTCCAGCAAGGGCACAGAACTGCGCTAAGGCTGAAATGGATGAATTGGAAGAAGTAGGCTTCAGAAGATGGGTAATAACAAACTTTACTAGCTAAAGGATTATGTTCTAACTCATTGCAAAGAAATGAAGAAGCATGACAAAACATTACAGGAACTGTTAACTAGAAAATAAAACAGTTTAGAGATGAATATAACTGACCTGACGGAGCTGAAAAACACAACATGAGAAGTTCACAATGCAAACACAAGTATCAACAGCCAAATAGACCAAGCAGAAGAAAGGATATAAGAGCTTGAAGACTGTCTTGCTGAATTATGGAAGGTAGATGAGATTAGAGAAAAAAGAATGAAAAGTAACAAACAAAACCTCCGAGAACTATGGGATTATATAAAAAGACTGAACGTACGACTGATAGAGGTATCTGAAAGAGACCGGGAGAATGGAACCAAGTTCAAAAACACACTTCAGGATATCATCTAGGAGAACTTCCCCAACCTAGCAAGATAGTCCAATGTACAAATTCAGGAAATACAGACAACCCCAGTAAAGTACTCCATGAGAAGACCAACCCCAAGACACATAATCATCAGATTCTCCAAGATCGAAACGAAAGAAAACATTTTAAGGGCAGCCAGAGAGAAAGGCCAGGTCACCTATAAAAGGAAATCCAACAGACTAACAGCAGACCTCTTAGTGGAAACCCTACAAGCCAGAAGAGATTGGGGGCCAATATTCAACATTCTTAAAGAAAAAAATGTCCAGGAGCAGGTTGTTCAATTTCCATGTAGTTCAGCGGTTTTGACTGAGTTTCTTAATCCTGAGTTCTAGTTTGATTGCACTGTGGTCTGAGAGACAGTTTGTTATAATTTCTGTTCTTTTACATTTGCTGAGGAGTGCTTTATTTACAACTATGTGGTCAATTTTGGAATAGGTGAGCTGTGGTTTTGAGAAGAATGTATATTCTGTTGATTTGGGGTGGAGAGTTCTGTAGATGTCTATTAGGTCTGCTTGGTGCAGAGCTGAATTCAATTCCTGGATATCCTTGTTAGCTTTCTGTCTCGTTGATCTGTCTAATGTTGACAGTGGGGGTTAAACTCTCCCATTATTATTGTGTGGGAGTCTAAGTCTCTTTGTAGGTCTCTAAGGACTTGCTTTATGAATCTGGGTGCTCCTGCATTGGCAGCATATATATTTGGGATAGTTAGCTCTTCTTGTTGAATTGATCGCTTTATCATTATATAATGGCCTTCTTTGTCTCTCTTGATCTTTGTTGGTTTAAAGTCTGTTTTATCAGAGACTAGGATTGCAACCCCTGCCTTTTTTTGCTTTCCATTTGCTTGGTAGATCTTCCTCCATCCCTTTATTTTGAGCCTATGTGTGTCTCCGCACGTGAGATCGGTTTCCTGAATACAGAACACTGATGATCTTGACTCTTTATCCAATTTGCCAGTCTGTGTCTTTTAACTGGAGCATTTAGCCCAGTTACATTTAAGGTTCATATTGTTATGTGTGAATTTGATCCTGTCATGATGATGTTAGCTGGTTATTTTGCTTGTTAGCTGATGCAATTTCTTCCTAGCATCAATGGTCTTTATAATTTGGCATGTTTTTGCAGATGCTCATACCGGTTATGCTGGTACCAGTTCCTTTCCATGTTTAGTGCTTCCTTCAGAAGCTCTTGTTGGGCAGGCCTGGTGGTGACAAAATCTCTCAGCATTTGCTTGTCTCTAAAGGATTTTATTTCCCCTTCACTTTTATGAAGCTTAGTTTGGCTGGATATGAAATTATGGGTTGAAAATTTTTTTCTTTAAGAATGTTGAATATTAGCCCCCACTCTCTTCTGGCTTGTAGAGTTTCTGCCAAGAGATCAGCTGTTAGTCTGATGGGCTTCCCTTTGCGGGTAACCCAACCTTTCTCTCTGGCTGCCCTTAACATTTTTTCCTTCATTTCAGCTTTGGTGAATCTGACAATTAAGTGTCTTGGAGTTGCTCTTCTCGAGTAGTATCTTTGTGGCATTCTCTGTATTTCCTGAATTTGAAGGCAGAAATAAAGATGTTCTTTGAAACCAATGAGAACAAAGACACAACATACCAGAATCTCTGGGACACACTTAAAGCAGTGTGTAGAGGGAAATTTATAGCACTAAATGCCTACAAGAGAAAGCAGGACAGATCTAAAATTGACACCCTCACATCACAATTAAAAGAATTAGAAAAGCAAGAGCAAACACATTCAACAGCTAGCAGAAGGCAAGAAATAACTAAGATCAGAGCAGAACTGAAGGAGATAGAGATACAAAATCTCTTCAAAAAATCAATGAATCCAGGAGCTGGTTTTTTGAAAAGATCAACAAAATTGATAGACTGCTAGCAAGACTCATAAAGAAAAGAGAGAATATTCAAATAGATGCAATAAAAAATCATAAAGGGGGTGCTGGGCGTGGTGGCTAGTGCCTATAATCCCAGCACTTTGGGAGGCCGAGGTGGGCAGATCATGAGGTCAGCAGTTCAAGACCAGCCTGACCAACCTGGTGAAACCCCGTCTCTATTAAAAATACAAAAATTAGCTGGGCATGGTGGCATGTGCCTTTAATCCCAGTTACTGGGGAGGCTGAGGCAGGAGAATAGCTTGAACCTGGGAGGCGGAGGTTGCAGTGAGCCAAGATCGTGCCACTGCACTCCAGCCTGGGCGACAGAGTGAGACTCCGTCTCAAAAAAAAAAAAAATGATAAAGGGGATCCCACCACCAATCCCACAGAAATATGAACTACCATCAGAGAATACCATAAACACCTCTACGCAAATAAACTAGAAAATCTAGAAGAAATGGATAAATTCCTCGACACATACACCCTCCCAAGACTAAACCAGGAAGAAGTTGAATCTCTTAAAAGACCAATAACAGGCTCTGAAATTGAGGCAATAATTAATAGCTTACCAACCAAAAAAACTCCAGGACCAGACAGATTCACAGCCGAATTCTACCACAGGTACAAGGAGGAGCTGGTACCATTCCTTCTGAAACTATTCCAATCAATAGAAAAAGAGGGAATACTCCCTAACTCATTTTATGAGGCCAGCATCATCCTGATACCAAAGCCGGGCAGAGGCACAACAAAAAAAGAGAATTTTAGACCAATATCCCTGATGAACGTTGATGCAAAAATCCTCAATAAAATACTGGCAAACCGAATCCAGCAGCACATCAAAAAGCTTATCCACCATGATCAAGTGGGCTTCATCCCTGGGATGCAAGGCTGGTTCATCATACGCAAATCAATAAACATAATCCAGCATATAAACAGAACCAAAGACAAAAACCACACGATTATCTCAACAGATGCAGAAAAGGCCTTCGACAAAATTCAACAACTTTTCATGCTAAAAACTCTCAATAAATTCGGCATTGATGGGACATATCTCAAAATAATAAGAGCTACTTATGACAAACCCACAGCCAATATCATACTGAATGGGCAAAAACTGGAAGCATTCCCTTTGAAAACTGGTACAAAACAGGGATGCCCTCTTTCGCCACTCCTATTCAACATAGTGTTGGAAGTTCTGGCCAGAGCAATCAGACAGGAGAAAGAAATAAAGGGTATTCAATTAGGAAAAGAGGAAGTCAAATTGTCCCTCTTTGCAGATGACATGATTGTATATCTAGAAAACCCCATCGTCTCAGACCAAAATCTCCTTAAGATGATAAGCAGCTTCAGCAAAGTCTCAGGATACAAAATCAATGTGCAAAAATCACAAACATTCTTATACACCAATAACAGACAAACAGAGAGCCAAATCATGAGTGAACTCCCATTCACAATTGCTTCAGAGAGAATAAAATACCTAGGAATCCAACTTACAAGGGATGTGAAGGACCTCTTCAAGGAGAACTACAAACCACTGCTCAAGGAAATAAGAGAGGACACAAACAAATGGAAGAACATTCCATGCTCACGGATAGGAAGAATCAATATCGTGAAAATGGCCATACTGCCCAAGGTAATTTATAGATTCAATGCCATCCCCATCAAGCTACCAATGACTTTCTTCACAGAATTGGAAAAAACTGCTTTAAAGTTCATAGGGAACCAAAAAAGAACCCACATTGCCAAGACAATCCTAAACCAAAAGAACAAAGCTGGAAGCATCATGCTACCTGACTTCAAACTATACTACAAGGCCACAGTAACCAAAACAGCATGGTACTGGTACCAAAACAGAGATATAGACCAATGGAACAGAACAGAGTCCTCAGAAATAATACCACACATCTACAACTATCTGATCTTTGACAAACCTGACAAAGACAAGCAATGGGGAAAGGATTCCCTATTTAATAAATGGTGCTGGGAAAACTGGCTAGCCATATGTAGAAAGCTGAAACTGGATCCCTTCCTTATACCTTATACAAAAATTAATTCAAGATGGATTAAAGACTACACATTAGACCTCAAACCATGAAAACCCTAGAAAAAAACCTAGGCAATCCCATTCAGGATATAGGCATGGGCAAGGACTTCATGTCTAAAACACCAAAAGCAATGGCAACCAAAGACAAAATTGACAAATGGGATCTAATTAAACTAAAGAGCTTCTGCACAGCAAAAGAAACTACCATCAGAGTGAATAGGCAACCTACAGAATGGGAGAAAATTTTTGCAATCTACTCATCTGACAAACGGCTAATCTCCAGAATCTACAATGAACTCAAACAAATTTACAAGAAAAAAACAAACAACCCCATCAAAAAGTGGGTGAAGGATATGAACAGACACTTCTCAAAAGAAGACATTTATGCAGCCAACAGACACATGAAAAAATGCTCATCATCACTGGCCATCAGAGAAATGCAAATCAAAACCACAATGAGATATCATCTCACACAAGTTAGAAGGGTGATCATTAAAAAGTCAGGAAACAACAGGTGCTGGAGAGGATGTGGAGAAATAGGAACACTTTTACACTGTTGGTGGGACTGTAAACTCGTTCAACCATTGTGGAATTCAGTGTGGCGATTCCTCAGGGATCTAGAACTAGAAATACCATTTGACCCAGCCATCCCATTACTGGGTATATACCCAAAGGAATATAAATCATGCTGCTATAAAGACACATGCACACATATGTTTATTGTGGCACTACTCACAATAGCAAAGACTTGGAACCAACCCAAATGTCCATCAATGATAGACTGGATTAAGAAAATGTGGCACATATACACCATGGAATACTATGCAGCCATGAAAAATGATGAGTTCATGTCCTTTGTAGGGACATGGATGAAGCTGGAAATCATCATTCTCAGCAAACTATCGCAAGGACAAAAAACCAAACACCGCATGTTCTCACTCACAGGTGGGAATTGAACAGTGAGACCACTTGGACACAGGAAGGGGAACATCACACACCGGGGCCTGTTGTGGGGTGGGGGAATGGGGGGAGGGATAGCATTAGGAGATATACCTAATGTAAATGACGAGTTAATGGGTTCAGCACACCAACATGGCACATGTATACATATGTAACAAACCTGCATGCTGTGTACATGTACCCTAGAACTTAAAGTATAATAAAAAAATAAAAAGAAAAAAAATTTTCAACCTAAAATTGTATATCCAACAAAACTAGCTTCATAAACAAAGGAGAAATAAAATCTTTTTCAGATAAGCAAATGCTGAGGGAATTTGTCACCACTAGGCCTGCCTTGCAAGAGCTCCTGAAGGAAGCATTAAATATGGAAAGGAAATACCATTATCAGCCACTAAAAAAACACATTGAAGTACACAGACCAATGACATCATGAAGAAACTACATAAACAAGTCTACAAGATAACCAGTTAGCATCATGCTAACAGGATCAATTTCACACATAATAATATTAACCTTAAATGTAAATGGGTTAAATGCCCCAATTAAAAGACACAGAATGGCAAGCTGGATAGAGTCAAGACCTATTGGTGTGCTGTATGCAAGAGACCCATTTCACATGCAGGCTCAAAATAAAGGGATGGAGGAAAATTTATCAAGCAAATGTAAAACAGAAAAAAGCAGAAGTTGCAGTCCACTTTCAGACAAAACAGACTTTAAACCAACAAACATCAAAAAATACAAAGAAGGGCATTACATAATGGTAAAGGGTTCAATTCAACAAGAAGTGCTAACCATCCTAAGTATACACACACCCAGATTCACAAAACAACTTCTTAGAGACCTACAAAGAGACTTAGACTCACGCACAACAATGCACCCAGTGTCAATATTAGACAGATCATTGAGACAGAAAATTAACAAAGACATTCAAGACTTGAACTCAGCTCTGGACCAAGTGGACCTGATAGATATATACAGAACTTGCCACCCCAAAACAAGAGAATATCTTTTTCTCAGTGTTACATGGCACTTACTCTAAAATCAATCACATATTTGGAAGTAAATCACTCCTCAGCAAATGCAAGGCTACAGTAACCGAAACAGCACCAGTACCTTTACTTACACCTTATACAACAATTAACTCAAGACGGATAAAAGACTTCGATGTAAAACCCAGAACTATAAAAACCCAAGAAGAAAATCCAGGCAATACCATTCAGGGAATAGGCATAAGCAAAGATTTCATGACAAAATCACAAAAAGCAATTGCAACAAAAGCAAAAAAATGATGAATAGGAGCTAATTAAACTAAAGTGCTTCTGCACAGCAAAAGAAACTATATCATCAGACTGAACAGGCAACTACAAAGTAGGAGAAAATTTTTTCAATCTATCCTTCTGACAAAGATCTGATATCTAGAATCTACAAGGAACTCAAACAAATTTACAAGAAAAAAGAAACAACCCTATTAAAAAGTGGGCAAAGGACATGAACAGACGCTTCTCCAAAGAATATATTTATGCAGCCAACAAACATGAAAAAAAGCTTAACATCACTGATCATTAGAGAAACGCAAATCAAAACCACAATGAGATACTATCTTGCACCAGTCAGAATGGCTATTGTTAAAAAGTCAAGAAATAATAGATGTTGGCGAGGTTGTGGAGAAATAGAAATGCTTTTACACTGTTGGTAGGAATGGAAATTAGTTCAACAATTGTGGAAGACAGTGTGGTAATTCATCAAGTATCTAGAACCAGAAATACCATTTGACCCAGCAATCCCATTACTGGGTATATACCCAAAGGAATATAAATTGTTCTATTACAAAGATATATGCACATGTATGTTCACTGCAGCACTATTCACAATAACAAAGATGTGCAATCAAGTCAAATGCCCATCAATGATAGATTGGATAAAGAAAATGTGGTGCATATACACCATGGAATACTATGGAGTCATAAAAAAGATTGAGATCATGTCCTTTCCAGGGACATGGATGGAGCTGGAAGCTATTATCATCAGCAAACTAACACAGGAACAGAAAAACAAATACCACATGTTCTCACTTGTAAGTGGGAGCTGAACAATGGGAACACATGAACAAAGGGAGGAGAACAACACACACTGTGGCCTGTTGGGGGGTCATGCAGGGGGAGGGAGAGCATTAGGAAAAATAGCTAATGCATGCTGGGCTAAATACCTAGGTGATGGGTTGATAAGTGCAGCAAATCACCATGGCACACATTTACCTATGTAACAAACCTGCATATCCTGCACATGTACCCCAAAACTTAAAAATAAAAATTTGCAAAATATTTGAAATTGACACTTCACCAAGAAAGATATACCTATGGCAAATAACCACATAAAAGAAAATTCAACATAACTAGTCATTAGGAAAATGCAGATTAAAACCCCAGAGAGATACCACTACACACCTATCAAACTATCTCAAACTAAAAAGAATAGTCCTGTGGTTTGGATGTTTTGTTCCCTCCAAGTCTCATGTTGAAATGTGACTTCCAATGTTGGAATTGGGCTTAGTGGGAGGCGTTTGGGTCATGGGAACAGCTCCCTCATGAATGGCTTTGTGCTATCCTTGTGGTAATGAGTGAGATCTCACTTTGTGTGTTCAAGCAAGATCTGGTTATTAAGAATCTGGAACTTCCCTTCTCTCGCTCTTGCACCCTCTCTGACCATCTGATACACTGATTACCCCTTTGCCTTCTGCCATGTAAGCTTCCTGAAGCCTCATCAGAAGCAAATGCTGGCACTATGCTTCTTGTAAAGCCTACAGAATCATGAGCCAAATAAACATATTTCTTTATAAATTACCCAGTCTAAAGTATTCCTTTATAGCAATGCAAAAGAGACACGCACATCTATCAAGTGTTGGCCAGCCGTTGTACACTGTTGGTGGGAATGTAAAATGGTACAACTACTTTGGAAAGCTCTTTGGATATTTTCCAAAAAGTTATAAATATATCTATCATGTAACCCAGCCATCCTAATTATAGGCATTTACCCAAGAGAAACAAAGTCTTGTATAGAAATGTCCATACCAGCCTTCTTTGTAATGACCCAAAACTGGAAACAACCCAAATGTCTATCAACAGGTGAATGGATAAACAAATGGTGCTATAACCATGCAATTACATTAGCTGGCAATAAAAATAATTTATTATTGATACATGTAACAACAAAAATAAATCTCAAGTAATCATGCTGAGTAAAATAAGCCAGACAAAAAGAAATAATAATATATTATTTCTTTTAAATAAAAATCTATAACATGGGTGGAGGAGGCTGGGATTTACAAAGAAGAATGAGGAAACTTTTGGGCTAATGAATATTTTCATTATCTTGATTGTCATCACAGTCTCACAGAATATATATATATGTATATATATAACACATACATACATTATATATGTGTAATATATATACATATATAAACTTACCAAATTATACACTTTAAATATGTGTAGAAATGGAAAGTGAAATATTTGGATTTAAAACATTAGCCATATAATAGTCTTCCACTCAGCCTTTTCCAATTTCCCTCAAAAATAGTTTAAAAGACAAAAAAGAAGGCGAAGGGAAACATCTTTTAACACAATGACAAGTAAATTTGACAGCCAACATATTGACAGAATTTAGGAGAACTTTCCACTCATTAAAAAGACATATACAGTGGAAAATGAAATGGTAAGTGATGGCCAACATGCTGTGCCACCTGAAATAGCACAAAATTGCAGGTGAGAGAGGCAGAGAGTTACGTTATGCCTCAACTTTTATTTGTTTTTGGCCTAGAAATCTGAAGTTTTTGATATCCAAACACTAGGAAGAGATACAATGCATTTTACATCAAATTCTATATAGATTCAAGTACTTTCAATCCTGGCAATTACAATGACACACTCTATCCTAAGTTCTAACACTTCATAAGCATTGATGGAAATAGGAAAACTCCTGTGCATTCTCTACATTTGGAGAATGAAAGAATCAGGCAGTTAAGGTTCTCAGCTTCATCCAGAAAAGCACATAAGATCAAAATGAAATCAAGAAAAGAACCGTGCACATCAGCTTCTCAACTGCAAATCTGTGTAGAAGCTTCTACATATAAATGGACAGTAAGCAGGATCAAAAACATACCACAAATGATGCTTCTTGGCACATACTGGGTTTAGATAAGTCTCTCTTTGTTCCAAGTGAAATAGAGAAAACTGTCAACTTAAGGCTTGTGAAAGAAAGTGGCAAAAAATGAAAAAGAGAAAATCACTCTTAAAACACACTGGAGGAGTTTAACTCTGAAAAGTTATTTACTAAAGCATGAAGACAAATTTAGAAAATGTTTAGCACCATCAATGGAATATAAGAAGACATAGAAGGGCAGAGACAACTTGCTGTCCACCAAAATTTTGTTTCCTTCCCATAGCACAGAGTTTTTGCTGCACAGCTAGGGCTAAATTTCCCAGTACCTCCTATACTGACATGTTGCTGTGCAACTAATTCTTGCCAATGGGAATGTGAATAGATGTGATGTGTGCTACTTCTAAACTAGAACTTTTAAAAAGTGGGTCGGATTTTTCAACTTTTTATTTACCTCTGAATATAAACACAGATGGATACAGAAGGCTTTGCAATATGAGACTATGAAGTCACAAAAATGAAAGCATTTGGGTCTCTGAATTCACATGTGGAGGATAACCACCAGCCAACCAGGAATCTGCATTGAATTATTATATGAGTGATTAATAGAACTCTATTGTGCTCAGCCACTGAAATACTGAGTCACTTTGTAACAACAATTAGTGGTACCATAATTAACACATGTGGCCTCTGCAATACATAAATGAGAAGCCACTACAATAGAATGAACAGATAGAAAATGATAACAGAATAAGATATGACAGTAGAAATGAAAAAAATAATTTGGTACCAAAAGAGTATAAGGAAACAAAAAATACAAACAATAGGGTTAAAATATCCATTGGGAATAGGAGTGAAAGAGAAGAAATATCATTTAAATATAACCAATAAAATGGATATGAAAAGTAAGAATGGTCTTCCTGAATGCAAAAGAAAAGAGAAAAAGTACAGTTTGAAGCAACAGAGAGGATATGATATTGAGAACCAGAAAACAGAACAGGAGTTATAAGTCATTCCAAGAAAAAAGAGTAAAATCATTCAAACAAGAGTAGTAATAAAGACATAATTGAAGAAAACTTAGAGAGGAGTAGAAAGGCCCAAGTATGAAAATTATTTTTTATAGAATTCAGGGGATAAGTCCTAAATAAAAACATGTTCTGGTGACATGCTTGAGTTACAGCAATGAAAGAAGAAAGCTTGTAGCATCTAGGAAAAAAGCACAACACATTATCTACAAATGAATAAATACAATTAAAGTTTTATATTTCTCCTCTTTAAGATGAAATGTCAGAAGACAATGGAGTAAAAATGATGAGTATTGTCATAAAAAGTTGTGTCTCAAGAAACCATCCTGTTTTCTTCTCTATACCATGTTAACTTATTTTAAAATATAGCAATTACAGCATAGGTATATATTCTTGAATAGAACACATATACATAATTTTTAATGTAGTCTTATAAAGCTAGTACATATTTTCAAAAAATGCTTTTCCTTTGTTAATAATTTTCTAATTGCAGAAATGCTAGAATACCAAGATATTTCTTTACCTGGTTAATATTTCAAGAACATAGCTAATCTATTATTACTAGTAATAAAGCATCAGCAAAAGTCAAGATGACATTGCTTCTTTCTGATCAATTCAAGGGAATATGGTAATGATGAAATTTCAACGGTGCATAATAACACTTTTATTCCAAATTTCTTTCTGAGATTGGTATCTTTGGCTCATATTCAGTGTATCCCACATTTCTGACAGCTTTCTGTAGAAACATAATATTGCTTTTAGTTAAGAATTTTAGCCATGGATATATATTAACAAGATTCTCACTGTAAATTTGATGCCAATATAATACAAACAGTATTCAGTATGTTAGACTACTTAAAGAAATTAAGGAAGATCATAAACAAATTTACAGTTAGGTGCTATATGCTAAATCTAATGAAGATATAAATTCAGAAGCATCTCCTTCATGCCACGGTAAATATTTCAGTGAACTAATAATACAAAACTTGTGTAATGCAGAAGTGATTTGGAAACCTTAGTAACTATATTACTTTGGTAGAGTTACTCTTAAATGAATATTAAGAAATTTTTAGAAATCACAACCTATTGTTTGAAATATTTTGTCTATTTCCAGAGTGTTAGAAAACAGTATAGTACCATATGTAAGATTCTTTATCAGAATTAACCACTTACAACCCCAATCATATCCAGCAGTTACCCTTACTTCCTATAGTACCCTACAGCTCCAACAATCCTAATAGACTTTGAATACAGTGAAGCAAGACTAAAGTTTAAAGCTGAGATCCAAATGGCCTGTTTTTTTTGTTTTTGTTTTTGTTTTTATTTTTGGTATCCAATTCCAACACAGGATCTGGCAACAGACAGTCCTGGGCTTGAAGCCCAGTTCTACAAACTGTATTAGGCTAGGCAAGTTATTTCTCCTCTGTAAGACTGAGTTCCTTCATCTGTTAAATAGAAATAATATTACTTAATTCATAGTATTTGTGAGGCTTTATATTATCTATAAGGCACCTAGTACAATGTGTGGCATATGGTAAGCACTTACTAAATTTATAGATATCATTATAATCAACAACACAAATATTATAATTGCCAAGATTCTCTATTCTTAATTTTTCTAAAAAGAGACCAAGAAAATCTGTCTCCATGCAAAAAAAGTTCTCAATTAACCATCAAACCATGAATTTTGTTTGTATCTCTCATTTTTGTTATAGGATTTCTAAAAGGGACATTCTCCATACATGAACAACTCTTTAAGTGAAATAATTTTTCACTTAATGAAAATGAAAACCCAATGACAGTTTTTACATCTGCTTTTAAAATTTTGCTTTTTGGTTTTTAACAAATTAAATTAACACATACATCAAACAGACCCTTCTAAAGTCAGGTGCCTACAGTAGTCAATAAAATTGGTCTTCTTGTTCATCTGTGTCTTAAGTTTTTTTTTTTTAACAAAGAAGTACACACTAAATCTTTTTTAAATTTTTAAAAATATTTTAATATTTTTAAAATTTTTAAAAAATTTTTTTTCTTGCTATGTTGCCCAGGCTGAACTCGAACACCTGGCATCAAGCAATCCTCCTACCTCAACAGTAGCTGGGACTACAGGCACATACCACCACACCTAGCTTTAAGTTTTCTTCTTAGTAATAGCCCCTTGAGAGCAGCAACCCTTATCTTGTATACCCCTCTGCTCTCTATGTCTAGCAACTACCAGGCTCATAGGAGGCATTCAACAAATGTTCATTGAATTAATGAATTCAGAGTTTATTTAGTTTAAATGGCTTTACAGGCCAGGCACAGTGGCCCATGCATGTAAGCCTAGCACTTTGGAAGGCCCAAGCGGGTGGATCATTTGAGGTCAGGTGTTGCGAGACCAGCCTGGCCAACATGGTGAAACCCTGTCTCTACTAAAAATACACAAATTAGCCAGGGGTGGTGGCAAGCACCTGTAATCCCAGCTACTCAGGAGGCTGAGGCAGGAGAATGGCTTGCACCTGGGAGGTGGAGGTTGCAGTGAGCAGAGATTGCACCACTGTACTACAACCTGGAAGACAGAGTGAGACTCTGTCTCAAAATAAATAAATAAATAAATATATAAATAAAAATTAAAATTAAAAAATGGCTTTACAAATGGTTTATATCCTTACATAATTACCACTTAAAATACTGAACCAATGCACAAAAATAGATGAGAGCTAAAATTTATTGAGTGCTTACTATGTATTAATCACTATGCTAAGCATTTTACATGTATTATTTAATACTCACAAGAACTCTATTAAATAGGTACCATTACCATCCTTATTTTATAGTGAGGAGTCAGATTTACCAAGAGGTTAAATAATTGGCTCAAGGGCATACAGCTGGAGCCAAAATTTGAACTTAAGATGCCTAAATCAAGAGCCTGTTGGAGTAAGCACTTTACTATAATTGTCTCCAAAGCTTGGTTTTGGTATAGAAAGCACTTCATACTTGGAATAAGAAGACCTGGATTATTGACCTCTGCCACTAATATGCTTCGTGACCTCAGACAAGCCTCTCTAAGCTTCAGTTACCTATAACTATCAAAACAAGAAGATAGTTGTGAGAAACAAATAATATAATACATGTTAAAGCACTTTCCAACTGTATATTTACACAGTATATGTAACTACATATATTGTCTACATATATTAATATGTAGGCCAGGCATGGTAGCTCATGCCTGTAATCCCAGCACTTTGGAAGGCCAAGGCAGGTAGATCACTTGAGCCCAGGAGTTCAAGACCAGCCTGGGCAACATGACAAAGCCCTGTGTCAACAAAATTACAAAAATTAGCCAGCCATGGTGGCACGTGCCTATAGTTACTGCTATTTGGGAGGCTGAGGTGGGAGGATCACCTGAGCCGGGGAGGTCAAGGCTTCAACGAGCTGTGATTGCACACCTGCACTCTAGCCTGGCCAACAAAATGAGACCCTGTCTCAAAAATAAAAATAAAAAAGCATGTAGATTTATCTTTAAAATATTTGAAAATAGAAGGAAAAAAATAAGCATAAATATTATAAGGAAATAACAGTATAGAATATAATTTTGTAGGCCTAGTAGGAATAAAAGTACTACTCAGGAAAGGTCCAAGAATAAACTTTTAAATATCTGCACAAGGCTTCAAAAAAATCTGAGTTTCTCTACTCAACATCAATAGAAAACAACCCCATACTAATTTTATGATACCAAGTTGAACTAGAAGCAAAAATAACAATGTCTTAACTTTGTATATGTAAAAGCTCTTTTAAATCTATTGCTGCAACTGCAAGATGGAGTTTTAATATCAGTGAGATTAAACAAAAGAAGAGGAATGAAGAAAAGAACAGAGACATGAAAGACCAACAGATAGGGATTTTTGTCCTGCTCTTCCTTTTACTCTCTATGTGGCCTTGAGTAAATTACTTAACCTTTCTGATCATCAGTTTCTTTATGTGTAAAATGGGAAAAAATATTGGTAATTAATGTGTTGTGAAGATGCAATAACATAATTTATAGCAAGCGTATCGTAGGGCAAAGCCCAGTTTAGGGATTCAATAAATGGTAGTGTGGTTATTATCTATTAGTTTATACAGCTGAGTGAATTAAAGACACAGGTAGTCATATCTTGCTGAAGGTCACCCAATTATTATAGGAAGGAAACAAGGCTAGAACTTAACATCCTTTAGTTCTTACTCCAGCAATTTTTAAATTTCGTAAGAAATAATGTAGCTTTGTAGTATTTCTTTACCAGAGAGGACTATAAAATATTCATTCCCACTTAAGAAATGATTGAATTTTTGCTCCTATGAGATAATGTTAATTCACACAGGCTGTTATTTACTGAAAGATGTCCAAGCACATTGATTTTATATTGGAATATTCATCTCAGAAAAAAAAGCAGTGGAAGTAGAAATAATTGTCAAGTCAATCTCTGGTTTGCTTATTATTACGGAAATAAATTAAACTTTGCTCTAGATTTTTGACATGTAATTCTGATACTAATAGGTTCACATACATTTGTCTTTCCTCTACCTGCTAATAGGAAGCAGTCTGTAATGGTGTGTCAGAAATCTACCAGTAACTGCCTAATGTTTCCCTTAAACAGAAAGCGACTGTCTACAATTGCATCAGCAATTGTCAAGTTTACTGTAACGAAGGAAAGAGCACCAAAATGGCTCTGCTATGAAAATCAGATGCTTTCACCTGGAATCCCACTCCTGAATTGATTAGAAGCACAGTTATCAGTCCCTGTTTTAAAGAAATCCAAAATTGAACCTCAATCTTGCTAAACCATCAACTAAGACATACATTGTTTCCCTCATTCCCCTAACAGGCAAGGAGGAAAACAGCGTTTCTTTTGTTAGACACAGATATTTTTAGATTATTGTCAAAACCCAGAGCTATACTGGGGTGGTTGGTGCTACCATATAATCTTTCATCTTTTTATCAGAGAGGGCCAGGCTGTTTCTTCATTTGTGCAGGAAATCTATGATCAAGGCAATGGAAATACAAATATTAAAGTAGATAATGTTTCTGTCCTCAAGAAGCTCTCAGGCTAATGGAAGAGACACATATGCAATGATCTTTACAACATAGTGTGCAGAAAACGTGGGCACGTAGATGGAAAATGAAAAGAAAATGACCAAGTGATGAGAATAGAACCCTCAAATACATACAGAAGGAACTATATGAGCAAATACAACTGAAAAATGAAATAGCCTGGCATAGTCAGGAAATAAGGGAGTTATGGAAAAACCTAGTGGAAGGAGGGACAACTGAGGGTAGAAAGACACAGAGAGCCCAACTCATGAAGGATCCTGTATGTTATTTTGAAAAGCTGGGACTTTACTTTGAGGACTAATTAGAAGCTGGTAAGAGACATGGTCAAATATATATTCAAAAGTTTTCACCTCAGCTGATGAAGATGGCAAAAAAAGTTCAAATGCCAGTGTGTGGGCTAACCCACATGACCATTGTCCCACAACCCAAAAATATAAAGCATATTATTGTATTTCTATATTAACATTCACTGGATAGGAACCAGCTTTTTTTGTTCATTTGACCATTTTAATAACAGTGTTCTGTGAACTATAAATGGCATCTTGCAGAATCTAATGTGTATCAGAAACTGCAATGATAGAAAGGGAAAGAAGGGAAGAATAGAGAAAACAGTGATTGACCAGTTATCTACCATGTACCAGATACTTTGTGTTAGGTGCTCTGAATATGTTTAATCTTCCCAATAAGGCAAATCTTATCACATCAACTTTACAGGTATGTAAACAGAGTTTCAAAAAAATTAAGTTTCCAGTGTATACATATATTGCTCAGATCTATACCTAGAGCTGTCAGTCTTCAAAGTGTTTAATCTTTTCACTACACCACTCTATCTCCTTGAAAAAAAGGAAAGAATGAAGAGCACAAGATAAAGAAAAAGTTGGATAGGCACTCTAAAATACATGAAAACATGGGTACCTGTGCTGCTAGCAAGTATTAGCATTTAAATGCTACTACAAAGAGATTTCAGAATATGACATCCTGAAGTGGTCAATGAATCCTATCAACACAAGTATAAATTTGAAAAAAAAATTTAAAAATCACAACAATCTCAGGCCTCTGGAAATAAAGCAAAGGCAGACAACAGATTGAGAAGCACCTATTCTTTAAAAATCATCAGAGCTTTTGGTACAAACAGAAGAAGTTTGAGATTTTCTTGCTTGAAGCTACTCCCATCCCACTCCCCAGCTCCACAGTTGAGAACAATAGCTTTGCCAATGTGGTGCTAACCAAAAAACAAAACAAAATGAAACAAAAAAACAGCAACTTTGCTACCAGAGGCAGACTTGATTTGGGACACAAAGACAATAGCCCATGATTCTGTAAGCTTTTTAAGTTTACAAAGTGGTAAACTTTGTAGAAAACAAATAGGCAAAGCCTACAGCTTTGCTGATCTGAAGTTGCAGCTCCAATTGGGGCTATGACAGAACAGAAATTTAAAGGGATCCTAGAAATGATGAGTCATAGGAGGGCTGAAACATGCTTGCCACATATCCCTGGCTATAGGTATAGGTTATGAGACCTGAGAGAAACTACAGCAAAAAGTAAAAGCCAAGACAGACTTGAGTAATAGCTACAATTCTGAATAGGCTCTCCAAATTGCACACTGGTCCATTGGCAAGAGGGTAGAAATCTTATGGGCCTGAGGTATTTGAGCACAAGTGCTACTTAAATCACTGGCTAAATACTAAGCAATGCAGACACAAAAGAAGTGACTTACAGGAAGCCAGACTAAAAAATAAAAATAAAATGTGATGCAGCCAAAACAATTGTTAAGGTGAAACTTATAGCTTCAAATGCTTTATTAGAAACAAATAAATCTATCATCAATAATCAACACTTCTACTTCAAGAAGCTAAAGCAATTTACAGATTCAATGCTATTTCTATCAAACTACCAATGGCATTCTTCACAGAACTAGAAAAACATATTTTAAATTCTATATGGAACCAAAAAAGAGTTTGAATAGCCAAAGCAATTATAAGCAAAAGAACAAAGCTGGAGGAATCATGTTATCTGAATTTAAACTATACTACAAAGCTACAGTAGCCAAAAAAGCATGGTACTGGTACAAAAACACAGACACATAGGCCTATGGAACAGAATAGAGAGCCCGGAAATAAAGCCTCACATGACCATCTGATGTTTGACAAAGCTATCCAAAAAAATCAATGGGGAAAAGATTTCCTATTCAATAAATAGTGCTGGGATAACTGGCAAGCCACATGCAGAAGATTGAAGCTAGACCCCTTCCTTACACTATATACAAAAATCAACTTGAGATGCATTAAAGACTTAGATGTAAAACCCCAAAGTATAAAAACCCTGGAAGACAACCTAGGCAGTATCATCCTGGACGTGGGAACGGGCAAAGATTTCATGACAAAGACATCAAAAGCGATAACAACAAAAGCAAAAATTGACAAATGAGAACTAATTAAATGTAAGAGCTTCTGTACAGCAAAAGAAGCTATCAACAGAATAAACAGACAACCTACAGAATGGGAGTAAATATTTGCAAACTATGCATCTGACAAAGGTCTAAAATCCAGCATCTAAAAAGAACTTAAACAAATTTACAAGAGAAAATAAAACAACCCCATTAAAAAGTGGGCAAGGACATGAACAGACACTTCTCAAAAGAAGACATACATGCAGCCAACAAGCATATGAAAAAAATCTCAAAATCACTGATCATTAGAGAAATGCAAATCAAAACCACAATGAGATACCATCTCATACCAGTCAAAATGGCTACTAATTAAAAGTCAAAAAAATAACAGATATTGGTGAGGTTGCAGAGAAAATGGAACCCTTATACACTGTTGATGGGAGTGTAAAGTAGTTCAACTATGGTAGAAAGCAGTATGGCAATTCCTCAAAGAGCTAACAGCAGAACTACCATTTGACCCAGAAATCCCATTACTGGGTACACACCCAGAGGAATATAAAGCATGCTACCACAAAGACATATGCATGTAAATGTTCACTGTAGCACTGTTCACAATAGCACAGACATAGAATCAACCTAAATGCCCATCAATGACAGACTGGATAATAAAATGTGGTACATATATACCATGGAATATTATGCAGCCACAAAAAAGAATAAGATCATGTCTTCTGCAAGAACATGGATGGAGTGGGAGGCTATCATCCTTAGTAAACTAACACAAGAACAGAAAACCAAATACTTCATGTTCTCACTTATAAGTGAGAGCTAAATGATAAGAACATATAAACACAAAGAAGGAACAGGAAACAACAGACACTGGGGTCTACTTGAGGGGGGAGGGTGGGAGGAGGAAGAGGAGCAGAAATAATAACTCTTGTGTAATAAGATTAATACCTGGGTGATGTAATAATATGTATGACAAACCCATGTGACATGTGTCTATTTATGTAATAAACCTTCACATATACCTCCAAACCTAAAACAAAAATTAAAAAAAAGAATAACAAATCAAACCCAAAGTAATTACAAGGAAAGAAATAATAAAAATCAGAGTGGAAATCAATAATATACAAAACAAAAAATTAAAAATTGATGAAACCAAAATGTGGCTCTTTGAAAAGATAGAGAAGCCAGGCATGGTGGCTCATGCCTGTAATCCCAGCACTTTGGGAGGCTGAGGCAGATGGATCGCCTGAGGTCAGGAGTTCAAGACCAGCCCGGCCAACATAGTGAAACCCCGTCTCAACTAAAAATACCAAAAATTATCTGGGCGTGGTGGCGGGCACCTGTAATCCCAGCTACTAGGGGGCTGGGGCATGAAAATCGCTTGAACCCAGGAGGTGGAGGTTGCAGTGAGCTGAGATCGTGCCATTGCACTCCAGCCTGGGCAACAAGAGCAAAACTCCATCTCAAAAAAAAAAAAAAAAAAAAGAAAAGAAAAGATAGAGAAATTTGATAACCTTTAGCCCAAAACTAACAAAGAAAAAGAAAAGACATACACTTCCAAAATCAGTAATGAAAGCTAGGACTCTACAGAATATGAAAAGAAAGTAAGAAAGTAAGTTGACCCCACACATGAAACTAATAATTCATGTTATTAGTTTCACATCTATAGGATTTTGATGGTCTCTGCCTTTGAAAGAGTTGCAGTAAGTCATTACTTAAGTATTACTGTAATTTCTATTTCTCTTTCACATTTAAAAGGACTTTTTTCAAAAATCAATAAATTTCTTATTCTTTCCAAATCTTAATTATTGTAAACAGTGCTTGCAGCACAAACATGGGAGTGCAGACATCCCTTCGATTTACTGATTTCCTTTCTTTTGGTTATATACCAGCAGTGGAACTGCAGGATCATAAGGTAGCTCAATTTTTGATAGCACAATAGGGTGACTATAGTCAACAACAACTTAATTGTATATTTTAAAATAATTTAAAGTGTATAATTGCATTGTTTGTAACTCAAAGGACAAATGCATGACTGTAAGGATACCCCATTCTTCGTGATGTGCTTATTTTACATTGCATACCTATATCAAAACATCTCATGTACTGCATAAATATATAAACCTACTATGTACCTATAAACTTTTTTTAAATATTAAAAAAGAAAATTCCCCAAGTGAAATTTTCATTGGAAAAAAATCAACAAACTTTAATGTTTATTCGGTGAATATTTACAGAGCACTTAGTTTGTCTAGGTATTCTGTTGACTGCTGCAGACATTGTAACAAATAAAATGGCCTCCACCTGTAAAATAAAGCTCACAGATCAGTGAGAAAGACATAAGTATAAACAAATAATCACAATCTAGTGTGCTGAGTTGTGAAATGCTATGGGGATGCTGGAGAAGAAGTGCCTAATTCTTCCTAAATGAAAGAGGAAAGTGCATAGAGGGCTAGGAACAGGGGGTTGGAGGTTATATCTTGAAGCTGGTGCTTGAATGATGACTGACTGAAGATCGCCTGAATGACCACCTGATGACGAAGGAATGGAAAAGAGTTTCAGAAAAGGTACAATCCCATGCAGAAAAGAATCATGAGTGTGTGTACCCAAGACTATTTCCATCAATAGTCACAGAATTTAATAGGTCGGAAAAAAAGGCAAGCTCACTAGTGATCTATAAGCACCCACGAAAATTGAGAAACAGCTTTTTCTTTTTTAGAACTCTATTTGAAATCTTAGAACACCACCAGCCTTGGAAGGTCCTGAGATGTCTTCTCATCCAACTCTTTTGCTTTTAGGTGGGTAAAATGAGGCTAGAAACATTAGGAACACTCAATTACCTTGCATTTATTGGTCATATCCTATGTTGAAAAACCTCTACTTTAAAGGGCCCAGCATGTATTCTTCATGACACCTCCTCTACAAGAGTGAGTCAAATACAAAATCAGATCTTCATCTTAACTTGCCCAATTGCCCAGCCCATGCTTGCTATTTCTACTCTACACAAAACTTGGCCCAGAGGAGAATAAAAAAGATATAAATATATAATTATATTTATATATAAATTTATATATTTTTATTAAAGAGAATAAAAGAATATATATAAGAATAAAATACACACACACACACACACACACACACACATATGTTTAACCACACGTAGTTTCACATTTCTTCAGGCTAATGAGACAGAAGAAAAAAATCTATTACCTGGTAACAGCCTAACTATCTACCTAGATCTGCAGCTAACTGTTTTCCAAAAAAAAGAACGAAATCACCATTAAGTGGTAGAATTACAGTCTTTGAGAGATAGAGAGGTATCACTGCAAGATTTGATTAATCACAACTTGATACAATGAAAGTATGTCAAGCAGTAACGAAACAATGTCAAATCACAAAATAGTGCTTGCACATGCAGTTAATACCATGATCTTCCCCACTCAATACTGATTTTGTTTATGACATTTGTAATGAGCTTTTGACATTTGAGTGATAGCTACACTGAGATAAGAAATTAGAATGCCTGGGGATTAGCTTTTCTTAAGCAATAGGTACTGTCTAAACTGGAATTACAAAGTATTGACAACTAAAATTGTTTTAAATGTCTTGAAGATTCTAAGTTTCAGGCCTGAGATGTGGAAGATGGAAGTCCCTATGGATCATCTAATCTAGTGATTGTCATTCTGTTTTCCAACCAAGGGATAAGACACTGTCATGCAGGCCATCCCTAGAAGGGTGTGGGCTGGAACCTAGACAAGATAATTAGACTTTAAAAAAAGGCCACATTGTTGGAATCTTTCATGGGCCCCTTGCCATAATCATTAAAGAGATTTTGATATTAAATGTTAATAATTTCATAACAGAAACAAAAAAATACTGTATATTCTCATTTATAAATTGGAGTTAAACAACAGATACACATGAACATACAGAGGGAAATAATAGACACTGGGGACTCCAAAAGTGAGGAGGGTGGGAGGGAGGTAAGCCGGGAAAAATTACCTGTTGGGTACAATATTACTATTTGGGTAACCCAAACCCCAGCATTACACAATACACTCATGTAACAAATCTACACATGTACCCCTTGAATCCATAAAAATAAAAAATAAAAATAAAATCATGCTAATGATTCAGAAAACAGTAATAAATCAGCCCCATGAGTCTATACCTTACTCCAAACAAAAGGCTCAGAAAAGCCATCTTAGTTGCCTTGTCCAAGGGATGGGTTTGTCAGTAGGTTAACTGTAGTATTCTTAATATTGTATCTGTATCTACTAAGGGAGACAGTATATCAAACTCTCCACAGGGAGAAAGAGCATATATGATTTAAAGCCTCCTCCAGGGGGGATCCACTTTCCAGATGAGAATCACTAATTTTGTGAATCACTTAATTTTACAGATCTGAATCTGAAGGAAGGCAGTGATTTGCACAAAGTTCTACTGCAAATTAGTGACAGAGGTAGCTAAGGACCCATTTCTTGACTGCAAGTTATGTGAGAGTAGTGCCGATAAAAATAAACCCCTCACAATTATAGCTTTGGCTGGTTTACAGAGCAGTTCTATGTCCATCATTTCAACTGATGTACATAATAATCCTAAGGGGTAAGGATGCTAAGGATTATTATTCTTATTTTGCAGATGAGAAAACAAACACCCAGAGAGGTAAAATGGTTTACCTGAGGTCACATGAGCAATTTGGTAAAAGTAAACCTAAATTCCAATATTTCTGACCCTGTATCCATTGTTGTTAGCAAACCACTCCATTAATTCATCTGGAAATCAATGTTTCCATTAAGATAGTGTTATTTTCATTCTCAAGACACTAAGTCCCAGTCTAGGACTCAGTCTGTATTCATCACCTTTTATAAGATGATCCAGGCATTGCAGCACAAGGTAATTTCATGAGGGAATATATGGTCTAAAATTTGCCCAGGTCTTCAATTTAGTCTTCAACAAAATCTAAATACAACCCAAGTATTGATCTGGGGTAATATCATTTGGCATTGAAAAGGCTTCCAAAGGAAAGATAATTTTATTCTTTCTCTACTTAGGTTGTCATACACTTTGCTCATATTCCTTCTAAAAATGAAAACATACAGCCAGTCTGTGTGTTACACTGTTGCTTGTTCTTAGTAAATTCTTATTTTAACTGACTACCATTAAGAATTCACAAACATTTTGAAAACATTTATCAGATAAATACATTATTATGTGTCATGTACATACAATATGTCAAAGATAGAGAATGGTATTCATATGTCCTATTACCTTTATGACATGTTCACATCAATCCTACATACAGGTATTATTAGTCACATTTTGTACATAGAGGGGCGATATAAATGTAATAAAGCTGAATTTTAAGTCAGGCCTGGCTAACCATAGATAGTGCCTATGCTCTTTCCATTATGTAACATTGCTTCTTAATAATAACAGCAAAGGATGTATAAGCCAAGAGATTAAGGGAATCATTTAAGAATGCCTAGTATATTGAGTGATATGCCATGGTTTTTACTGCTGTGTCTTTCACTATTCCATCTGCCAGGAATATTCTTTTTTTTCTTTGTTTAAAGAATATCTATTATTTATCCTTTTAGACCAAGTTCAATAGTAACAGTTTAGGAAACATTACCTGGCACCTCCCAAAAGAGGCTATTGCTCTCTTCTCCTGACATACGCACATTGTATTCTACTTACTTAGTCTCTCTCTCTCTCTTGCAACTAACCTGAATGCCTTAAGGAGAAGAACTACATCTTTATTCTTATATCTTTATAATCTCTGTAACCCCAATGTCTAGTCCAATCTCTAACCTATGCAGGAAAAATTTTTGGAAAATTTATTATGAATAGGTGTTGAATTTTGCCAATACTTTTTCTGCATCAACTGATATGATCATGTGATTTTTTTCATCTTTAGCATATTTATGTGATGGATTACAATCCTTGATTTATGAATACTGAACCAGCTTTGTACCACTGGAAAAAACCCCACTTAGTCTTGGTATATAATTCTTTTTATATATTGATAAATTCTCTTTACAAATATTTTGTTCACAAATTTTGCATCCATATTGGTCTGTAGTTTTATCTTTTTAACTTGCACTCTCTTTGTTCTCATTTTGGTGTTGGAGCAATACTGAGCTCATAAAATAAGGTGGAAAGTGTTTTGTTCTCTATTTTCTGGAAAAGACAGTGCCATGAACTGAATTGTGACCCCCAAAATTAGTATTTTGAAGACCTCTCAATGTGATGACATTTGGAGATGGGGAGTTAGGGAGGTGATTAGCTTTAGATGAGGTCATAAAGGTGGGGTCCTCATGTTGGGATCAGTACCCTTATAAGAAGAGACACCAGAGAGCTTGCTTGCTTTCTCCACAGTGTGAACACACAGCAAGAAGGTAACCAGGAAGTGACTCCTTATCAGAACTTAACTATGCTGGCACCCTGATCTTAGACTTCCATTCTCCAGAAGTGTAAGAAAACAAATTTCTGCTGCTTAAGCAACCCAGTCTATGATATTTTGTTACGGCACCTAAAGCTGACTTGGATAAACAGTGCAGAGCTGGTGCTAATTCTTCTTTATATATTTGGTAGAATCCTCTAGTGAAACAATTAAGGCTTGGACACATCCTTTTTGAAAACGTTTTTATTTTTCTAAACTACAAATTCAATGTCCTTAATAGTTATAGAGCTATTCAAATTATATATTTCATGTTTTGTAACTTGTAGTGTTTGTACTTCTCAAGGAATTGTCTCATTTCATCTAACTTGCCAAATTTATGTGTGTAGGGCTATTCATATTACTCCTTTGTTATTTTATTGACATCTTCAGAGTCTATGGTGGTATCTCCTATTTCATTCCTAATATTAATAATGTGTGTCTTTTTGTGTTTTCATCAGCCATACTGCAGGTTTTTCTTTTATCATTTCTTTTGATCTTTTCAAAGAACCCACTTTTGCTAGATTGATTTTCTCTACTGCTTTTCATTTTCAATCTCAGTGATTACTCCGATTATTATTTCTTGCCCTCAGTTTGCATTGGGTTAATTTTTATCTTCTTTATATGATTTCTTTGAAGGAAGGAGCTTAGATTGCTGATTTTAGACTTTCTTCTTTTCTAATGTAAGTATTTAGAACTATACATTGCCCTCTCAGTACTGGTTTAGCTACCGGCCACAAATTTTGGTAAGTTGTATTTTCATTTTCATTCACTTCACTGTGTTTTTTAAATTTCATTGGGACTAACTTTTAAAACCATAAATTACTTATAAGTGCATTGTTTAGTTTACAAATGTTTGAAGATTTATTTTTATTTTTCTGTTATTTGCTTTTAGTTCCATTCACTGTGATCAAAAAACCCACTCTGTATCATTTCAATTATTTGGAATTTCCTAAAATTTTTTAAGGTGTATTTAATGTCCCAGGATATGGTATATCCTCTATATATGGGATATATAGATTGAAATTTCCCAAAATTTGTTAATGTGTGCTTAATGTCCCAGGATATGGTATATCTTCTATTGAATGCCATGGTCATTTGAAAAAATTGTTTATTCTCATATTGGGTGGAGTGTTCTATAAATGTTGATTGATGCCTGTGGGTTGATGGTACTCTTAAGTTTTAAGTCGTTGATGATTTTACATCTAGATGTGTTACCAGTTGTTGAGAGAGGGGTGTTGAAGTCTTTAGCTATTCTGAATTTATGTATTTCCTCAATCAGTTTTATTAGTTTTTGCTTCAAATACTTTTCAGCTTTGTTGTTTGATACATACACATTCAGAAGAAGATGCCTTCTTGGTGAATTGACATTTTTGTCATTACATGAAGTGCTTCTCTGTCTCTGATAATTTTCTTTGTTCTACTTATTTGATATGCATATATATACTTCTGGTTTATTATAACCAAGGTGTGTGTGTGCTTGTGTGTGTATGTTTGCATGTGTGTGTGTGTGAATCTCCATCATTTTACTTTCAATCTATCTATATAATAACATTTGAAATACATTTATTGTAGAAAGTATATAGTTGCATCTCTCTCTTTTATTTAGTCATGCTGCCAATTTCTGCTTTTTAATTGCTGTAAATAAGGCCACTTACATTTAATGGAATTATGCATATGTTAGGGCTTGATTCTATAATTTTGTTTAATTTTCTATTTGTTCTCTCTGTATTCATGTCTCCATTTACTTTTTCTGGGCTTTCTGTAGGTTAACTGAACTTTTCTTCTTTTTAGAATTCTGTTTTTGAATTATTCATAGTGTTTTTCAATATATCTTTTTCATCAGCACATAGTGGTTGCTCTAGGTAGCATACCATATATACATAACTTATCATAGTCTACTTTGTCAACATTTACCAGTTTGAGTGAAGTATGCAGAAATTTTACATCTCTTTTAATCACTTAATGCTCTACCATTTATAACACAATTACCTTAAATATTTTCTCTACATGCATTGAACTGCATTAGATGCTGTTCTACTTGTTTCAACTTTCAAACATAATTAAGAACAGAGTAGAAGAAACAATATTTTCTGTTTTTTTTTAAATTCATTCATGATGTTCCAAGATTTTCTTCTTCTTCTTCTTCCCTTTTTTTTTTTTTTTTTTTTGAGATGGAGTCTTGCTTTGTCACCAGGCTGGAGTGCAGTGGTGCGCTCTTGGCTCACTGTAACCTCTGCCTCCCAGGTTCAAGAGATTCTCCTGCCTCAGTCTCCCGAGTAGCTGGGACTACAGGCATGCACCACCACACCCAGCTATTTTTTGTATTATTAGTAGAGATGGGGTTTCACCATGTTGTCCGGGATGGTCTCGATCTCTTGACCTTGTGATCCGCCTACCTCTGCCTCCCAAGGTGCTGGGATTACAGGTGTGAGCCATCGTGCCCAGCCAGATTCTTTCTTTTATCATTTTCCTTTCCTTTTAAGAACTTCTTTTAGTCATTCTTGCTGTATGGCAACAATTTTATTAGTTTTCCTTCATTCATCTGAGAGTGCCTTGATTTTCTCTTCATTCCTGAAACATATTTTCACTGGATATAGAATTCTAAGTAGATAGGTATTTTCTATACCACTTGAAAATGTTACAGCACTTTATTGTGGGTTCCATGATCTCTTATTATAAAGCCTCTATCTTTCAAATTTTTTTCTCTATAAGTAAGCATTTCTTTCCTCTGTTTTCTTTCAAAAATTTTTTTTAATTTGGTTTTTGAAATTTGGCTATGATATGTCTTGCCATGGTTTTATTTGGGTTTATCCTGCTTTGAGGTTCACCCAATCTATAGGTTTATGTATTTGCTATGATTTAGAAATTTTCAGCCATTATTTGTATGAATGATTTTCAGCTCCAGTCTCTTTCTCCTTTGCTTCTGGAACTTCAATAACATGAATTTAGATCATTCTGTTGAATTCCCTGATGTTCCTGATGCTCTGTTGTTTTTCCTTTTTTTTTTTTAAACTATTGTCCTCCTGTTGCTTGGAATGGATAATTGTTACATTCTACATTAACGTTCACTGACACTTTCCTTTGTCCTCCCCATTCTATTGAGCACATTCACTGAGTTTTTCTTTCATTTATTGTATTTTCCAGTTCTAAAATTTCCACGTGGTTGTTCTTTGTATCTTCTATTTCATTACTGAAACTGTGTTTTGCATTTGTTTTAAATGTGTAATAGTTTGTAAAAGAATTTTTATGATGGCTGCTTTAAAAACCTCAGCAGATACTTCTAACTGTGTCATCTTAATGTTGGTGTCTGTTGGTTATCTTTTGTGTTTCAAGTTGAGATTTCCCCAGTTCTTGCTATGACAGATTACTTTTAACTAAAATCTAAATATTTTTATATTATCTTATGAAATCCTGGATTTTATATCAATCTTGTGTTTTAGCAGTGTTCTTTTAACATTGTTCTAGAAGAAAAGGGGAGGTTACCTCATTACTTCCAGGTATGGATAGAAGTCCAGATTCTCCACTTGCCTTATATTGATATCAGAAGGATGAAGGGACCATGTTACTGTGAGGTGGAGGTTATCATTCAGTCTCCCCACTATGCTTCCAGTGTTAGCACTCTAGCGTCACATTATTTTGCAAGTCCTCAAGTCCCTAGATGGTCTGCCTTCTTTACTCCACCTTTCATAGTCTTCTTATGTTTTATATAAAATGTTCAGGGTTTTAGTTGCATTTACTAGGAAAACTAGGGAAAAATATGTCTACTACATCTTTCTGGAGCCACAATTCCAGCCTCTCTGATTTCACAGCAGAAAGTCATAAAACAGTGTTTCTACATTGCAAATTAAGGAAGCTACTCTGTTTCTACAATAATCTATATACAAACTTCTGTGAGAGATCCTTTATTCCCTTTGCCATTATAAGTACTTTTGTATTGGTCATTGGCTTAGCAAAGTAAAAGAGTAAATGCCATGCCTTTTTAATATGGAAGTTTTTCTCTACAATTTTCTGGAAATATGTGATGGTGAAAAGATTGTGCCTACCATTAAGCTGCAATTTTATTTAAATCAAGAAAGAAAGTGGCTTTCTCCTACCTTGGCCTCTGCCTACTAAAAAAGTACAGCAAACTATTTCTTTAAAAAAATAAATCTGGAATTAAGAATTTAATGTAATTATCTATTAATTTAAGAGTCAAGATTACTTTCCTTGATTAAAAAACATATAGGTGGGGCACGGTGGCTCATGCCTGTAATCCCAGCACTTTGGGAGGCCGAGGAGGGAGGATCACAAGGTCAAGAGATCGAGACCATCCTGGCCAACATGGTGAAACCCCATCTCTATTAAAAATACAAAAATTATCTGGGTGTGGTGGCACACGCTTGTAGTCCCAGGTACAGGAGGCTGAGGCAGGAGAATCTCTTGAATCTGGGAGGTGGAGGTTGCAGTGAGCCGAGATCACGCCACTGCACTCCAGCCTGGTGAAACAGTGAGACTCCGTCCCCCCAGAAAAAATATACATAAATAAGACATAAAGTTAATAAATTACTGACTCTCATTAATGATTGTGTAAGAAAGTTCTATCTACTATTGAAAAATATTGGCCTCTCACTTTTGATGCTTATTCAATGTAGGTCATTGTTATTGCCCACTCATCACAGATTTTTCAATAGCTTACATGTTAGTAATCTATTCATTTATCTGTCAAACCTACTACTTCATACCAGACGAAGGCCCTAGAGCAGGACCAACTTCATGGGTGTGTGACCTGTGCAGCTGCACAGGGCTCCACAATGAGTAGGGCCCACATTTGATTTAATCTTTTGATGTCACCATTTTGAAATTCTTCATATTATTTAACAAGGGTTTCTGCATTTTCATTTTTCACTGGGCTTCGCAAATTATGTAGATGAACCTGTCCTAGGAAGACAACATGAAAAAGACAAATTTTACCCTCATAGTCTCAGAGCAGAGACAGAAAATTTCATCATGGTATATTAAGTGCTATGATTGAAGAAGATATGATTGAAGAGACACAATGAGAGACCTAACACAGTCAAGGGGCTCAGAGAAAGGTTCTACTTCACAACGTCTATGCTGAGTTCTAAAAGTTATCCCAGGTCTTAGACTGATGTTTGCTCTGGATTATCACAGACTGGCCATCGTCTTTACTGCTAATTTAGAAGTTCACCAGAAGCATAATTTATTAGTTTCAAGGTCACTAGGTGCATTTTCAATTAAAAAAAACATATTTAGCAGGCCTCTTGGTTCAGGTACAAATTCAGGCAAAAAAGGCACTGGCTAGAGAATCATATCAGCCTGGGAAGAAAATCTCATTACCCCTAAAAAAGCGGAGTCTTGATGTCCAAAAGGAGGCTATACCAGGGTGTCATTGCAGAGATAAAGGTTAAACTCACTTGTTTTATCAACATATCCATTTTTTAAAGGCAGATATTATATTAAGCACTGCAGAAACCAAGATAATAGTAAGTAATAATAATAGTAGCTAACAGCCACAGGCACTCATTATATCTCAGTGCTAGCTATTTCAGTCCTCACAAGAAGCTCTATTTCATAGAAATTTAAATAAGAAATTATTAAGTCTCAGTCTCTAATAGAAGGTAGCTAAAAATCCATCAGGGAAAGGAACACATGACACATCAAGTGTAACATCATATGATAACCATGCTATGTTAGCATCAGCAATGGAAGCTGTGGGAGAATAGCCTGGAAGTAAGGAGAAGCTTCCCAAAAGGAAAGAGACTTTATCCATATCTAAAAGGTTTTGTGAGCTAGACAAAGTGAGAAATACAGAAAGGCTTTCCAAATGAGGAAACGACATGAATAATGAATGAATCATCAAGAATGAATCCCAAATTTTTATCTGAGTAATTAAGTAGACAGCAAATGGTACAATAAGTTAAAAATAGGACTGCAAAAAGAGGATACACACTTGATGAAAATTTGCTGTTCAATACTGATGTGGAAGTGTTTGGTAGGCTGCTGGAAAGATGAATTACACTGCAGTGAAACTAAAGTTCAAGACTGAGGAGTAATCAGCATTTAGTTTATCATCCTGCAGAATGGCACAAGAAAGTTAGCTAAAATTCAAAGGTGAGCACAAGAGTAGGTCAGGCTACAAGTGGATTGAACCATTCTAGATTCATAATGGGGCATAATAAGAGCCTCTGACAGTTTATCTGGTTAGACTCTAAAGCTTTTCCCATATATCCAGCAAACCAATGTCTATAAAGTTTCAGTGCCTTTTCCTCTTGATTTTATTGTTTTTGTTCTGCCAAAGCAAGACTTAGACAACCCATAAAATTTTACATAAAATTTAAATATCAATCTCTCATTTCTTTGGCAGTAGATCAGCCAAAAACCCATAGCTTTAAGATTCATCTAGCCTAAGATGTTCTGTTTCTGGTACCCAGTTTCATTTGCATAAAGATCTTTTTCACTTTCTACATCTGTGTTTTATTTATATTGCAACAGCAATATTTATAAGTTTATGTCACAATAAGTTTCCAGTCTAAATTTGGGTCTTTTTTAATTGTTCAGCAGTTAAAAAACCACACACTAAGGGTAAAAGAAAATCCAGCATGAAATTCCTCAGTGTGAAGCTCATATTAGTTTTCTTCATAAACAAGTAACCATGTCATGTCACATCAATCAATGTTGATGTTAAAGCACAATAAAAGGTGAAATATAACTACCCCATTCTAAGGCCAACTCTATAATCTTAATAAAAATGCAAAGACATGCTTTGCTTTATATAAATTGACAGCATTATATGATTTAATTGTTTTTACCACTTATTTCATGATTAAATTGAAGTTTGGCTATCGTAACAGGTTTATGATATTTATTTGACTAAGATGAGTTTTTCCTATTTAAGGCAGCTTTAAGGACTGGATCAAGTACAGTGTTCTCTTTAAAACCTACTTTTATCTATTTCCTGACACCCAGCCCAATTAAAAGTGATAAACTTTCATTTTTATTTTTTCCTTTTAACTTTTATTTTAGGTTCTGGGGGTACATGTGCAGGTTTGTTACATGGGTAAATTGCATGTGGCTGGGATTTCATATACAAATTATTTCATCAGGTAAGTAGTAATCATACTACTCAATGGGTAGTTTTTTGAACCTCACCCTCCTCCCACCTTCCACCTTCAAGAAGGCCCTGGTGCCTATTGTTCCTTTCTTTGTGTCCACATGTATTCAATATTTAGCTCCCAATTATAAGTGAGAACATGTGGTATGTTGTTTTCTGTCCCCATGTTAATTCACTTAGGATATACCCATGTTGCTGCAAAGGACATGCTTTCATTCTTTTATGGCTGCACAGTAGTCGTGTATACATACCACATTTTCTTCAATCCACAATTTTTTTCAGTTCACCGTTGATGGGCATCTAGGTTGATTCCATGTCTTTGCCATTGTGAACAGTATTGGAATGAACATATGTGTGCATGTGTCTTTATGGTAGAAGGATTTATATTCCTTTGGGTATGTAACCAGTAATGGAATTGCTGGGTCAAATGGTAGCTCTGTTTCAACTTATTTGAGAAATCTTCAACCTGCTTTCCACAATGGCTGGACTAACTTACACTCTCACCAGCAGTGTATAAGCGTTCCCTTTTCTCCACAAACTTGCCAGCATCTGTTATGTTTTGACTTTTTAATAGTAGCCATTCTGACTGGTGTGACATGATACCTCATAGTAGTTTCAATGTGCATTTCTGTAATGATCAAGGATGTTGAGCATTTTTTCATAAGCTTGTTGGCCCTTTGTATGTCTTCTTTTGAGAAGTGTCCTTTCATCTTTGCTCATATTTTCATCAGGTTGTTTTTTGCTTGTTGATTTGTTTAAGTTCCTTATAGATTCTGGAATTTAGACCATCGTCAAGTGCATAGTTTGCAAATATTTTCTTCCATTTTGTTTGTTGTCTGTTTACACTGCTGATGGTGTATTTTGCTATGCAGAAGTTCTTTAGTTTAATTAGGTCCCATTTGTCAATTTTTGTTTTGGTTGCAATTGCTTTTGGAGTATTTGTTAATAAAATCTTTACCATGGTCTATATCCAGAATGGTATTTCCTAGGTTTTCATCTAGGATTTTTATAGTCTTAGGTTGTATATTTAAGTGTTTAATCTATTTTGAGTTGATTTTTATATATGGTGAAAAGAAGGGGTACAGTTTCAGTCTTCTGCAGATGGCTAGACAGTTATCCCAACACCATTTATTGAACAGGGAGTACTATCCCCAGTGGTTGTTATTGTCATCTTTGTTGAAGATCAGATGGTTATAGATATGTGGCTTTATTTCTGGGTTCTCTAATAAGGACCCCCGCCACGGCCCCACTGAAGTTCTTTTGCCAGCACCCTCCATGGGAATGTTGTTGCCAGTGGATGGGGAACACCTCGGCTCCTCCAGCACAGTAAGTGCTTAATCTTGACAAGCCAGAGAACAATGCCATTGGCCTAGTTCCAGCCCCTCAGGGCTAAAGCATGCAGCCCAGGAGTGCTGACCTCAGCCTTGGCCCCCTGAAATCATCCCATGAAACAAAGTCAGTCATAATCAAAGCCAATTCATAATCACAAAAACTGAAAACATTTATATAATCCCTTAAGTGGATAAACAAATTGTGGTAGGATTTGCCACTTCTAAAAATACTTTGTTTACTTGCTCCTATCTATTGTCTTTATTCACATAATAGAAAATAAGCTTCTCCAGAACAGAAGAACCTTATCTGTCTTATTCAATGCTGATTCCTGAATGCCTAGAGCAGTATCTGGCACACACAATAAGTATTTATTGAATATAAATAATAAGAAAGTAAAATTTATGGAAAGCTTTCTACATGTTAGGCAAAACTGCAATTGTTTTGTGTATATTATCTCAGGTAGGTAGGAAACTGAAACAGAGGGAGTATAAAATAATTTGCCCAGGTGACACAGTAAATAGTTGAAGTAGAATACCAACCCTGGCAGTCTGACTCCAAAGCTTGAGCTTAATCCAAATGAATAAATGTTAGAATGGCATTACAGGAAAAATACAGTAAAATTCATGGAAATATGAAACAACATGGTCGCTGTAGGGAACTACAAGAAGGCCAATAAGTATGTAAGTCAAAAGCAAACTGGATAAGAACTAGATCATGAATGGTACCACATGCCAGGCTAAGAAGTTTGGACTTTACCCTAAAGGTAATAGAGGGGTATTTAAGGCATTTTGCAGTGGAGTGGCAAGGTTAAATTTGCACTTTACATATAATGCTCCAGCTTCAGTGTGAAGGATGAACTTAAATTGCATGAAACCCTGGACAAAACCACAGTTGGAAGACAACTGCCATAGTCCAAACAATATATGTAAATAGATTAAACTTGAATGGCTGTAGCAGAGATAGAAAGGCACAGATAAATTTAGGAAATGACTCTAAAAGTGGTAAAGTAAGGAAACAAATTTGATTTTGTCATTTGTAATATGAACTTAATAATAGGAATAGTTACTAGGTTTATTATCAGTCCCCAGAAACTTAAAGTTATCTCTGTAAAACAATAGAAGCCGACTTGAAAGAATAAAAATATGGGCAGAGCACAACGGTTCATGTCCGCAATCCCAGCACTTTAGGAGGCCGAGGGGGACGGATCACTTGAGCTCAGGAGTTCAAGACCAGCCTGGGCAACACAGTGAAACCTCATCTCTACAAAAATACAAAAAAGTAGTCCAGCATGGTGGTGCACTCCTGTAGTAGTATCAGCTACTCAGGAGGCTGATGCAGGAGGATTGCTTGAACCCAGGAGGCAGAGGTTGCAGTGAGCCAAGATCATGCCACTGCACTCCAGCCTGGATGACAGAGTAAAAGCCTATCTAAAAAAAATAAAAAAAAAATTAAAAAAATACAAGTATGTTCATGTTTGCCACACTTACACTAAAATTGAAATAATAAAGTACATACGCAAATTCATTAAGCTAACCATATCCTCTACATATTGAATACAACACTTCCCTCTGAATGTTTTCTATTTTTAATTTTTATGGGCACATAGTGGGTATATATGTTTATAAGGTATATGAGATATTTTGATAAAGGCATACAATTGTAATAATCACATCAGGGCAAATGGGGTATGCATCCCTCAAGCATTTATCCTTTGTCTTATAAGCAATCCAATTATACTATATTAGTTGTTTTAAATGTACAATTAAATTATTATTGACTATAGCCAATCTGTTGTGCTAGCAAATACTAGGTCTTATTCATACTTTCTAACTATTATTATACCCACTTCCACACCCTCCCCACAACAATCATGCCACTACAATTCCCAGCCTCTGGTAACCATCCTTCTAGTCTCCACCTCCATGAGTTAAATTGTTTTAATTTTTAGCTAATTTTAGCTACCACAAAAAGAGAGAGCATGTAAAGTCTGTTTTTCTGTGCAGGGCTTGTTTCACTTAACATAATGGCCTCCAGTTCCATCCATGTTGTTGCCAATGAAAGGATCTCGTTCTTTTTTATGGCTGAATAGTACTCCATTGTGTAGGTGTACCATTTTTCTTTATCCATTCATCTGTTGACAGACACTTGAGTTACTTCCAAATCTTGCCTATGGTGAATAGTGCTGCAATATACATGACATTGCAAATATATCTTCAATATACTGATTTCCTTTCTTGGGTATATACCTAGCAGTGAGATTTTTGGATCATTTGGTAGCTCTACAGATTTTTGAAAAAGGTCCAAAACTGTTCTCCATAGTGGTTGTGTTAATTTACATGCCCACTCACAATGTATGAGGGTTCCCTTTTCTCCATATCCTCGCCAGCATTTGTTATTGCCTGTCTTTTGGATATAAGCTATTTTAACTGAGATGAGATGATATCTAATTGTAGTTTTGATTTGCATTTCTCTGATTATCACTGATGTTGAGCACCTTTTCATATGCCTGTTTACCATTTGTATGTCTTCTTTTGAGAAATGTCTGTTCAGAACTTTTGCCCATTTTTAAATCATATTATTTGATTTTTTTCCTATTACTTGAGTTCCTTATATTTTCTGATTATTAATCCCTTGTCAGGTGGGTAGAGTTTGCAAATATTTTCTCCTATTGTGTGAGTCATCTTTCACTTTGTTCATTGCTTTCTTTGCTGTGCAGAAGCTTTTTAACTTGATATAATCCCATTTGTCCATTTTTGCTTTGGTTGCCTATGTTTGTGGAGTATTACTCAAAAAATCTTTGCCCACGCCAATGCCCTGGAGAGTTTCCTCAATGTTTTCTTTTAGTAGTTTCATAGTTTGAGGTCTCAGATTTAAATCATTAATCTCTTTTAATTTAACTTTGTAGATAGTGAGAAACAGGAGCCTAGTTTCATTCTTCTGCATGTGGATATCCAGTTTTCCTAGCAGCATTTATAGAAGTGACTGTCCTTTCCCCAATGTATATTCTTGGCACTTTTGTCAAAAAGGAGTTCACTGTAGATAATATGGATTCTTTTCTGAGTTCTCTATTCTGTTCCTTGGTCTATGTGTCTGCTTTTATGCCAGTACCATGCTGCTTTGGTTACTATAGCTCTGCAGTATAATTTGAAGTCAAGTAATGTGATTCCTCCAGTTTTGTTATTTTTGCTCAGGATAGCTTTGGTTCTTCTGGGTCTATTGTGGCTCTATATAAATTTTAGGATTTTTTCTATTTCTGTGAAGAATGTCATTGGTATTTTGATAGAGATTACATTCAATCTACGGACTGCTTTGGGTAGTGTGGACATTTTAATAATGTTGATTCTTCTAATCCATGAACATGGAATATCTTTCCTTTTTTTCTGTCCTCTTCAATTTCTTTGATCAATATTTTATAGTCTTCCATAAACGAGAGCTTTCAGTCCTTTGGTTAAGTTAATTCCTACGTGTTTAATTTTATTTTTGGCTACTGCAAATGGGGTTACTTTTCATGATTTGAGAGGACTGACTCCAATTTTGAAAGAAGTTCTACTGTGAGTAAAATGCTATCAGAGAGCTTCACCTGCTACAGAGAAGTATTTCATGAGTTAACTGATGAAGTCAACTGATGTGGTATACCTCATTGCTGTCTTATTTTAAGAAATTGCCACAGCCACCCCAACCTTCAGCAATAGCACCCTGATCAGTCAGCAGCCATGAACATCAAGGCAAGACCCTTCACCAGCCAAAAAGATTAAGACTCACTGAAGCCTCAGATGAACATTAATTTTTTTTTTGCAATAAAGTGTTTCTCAATTAAGGTATACACATTGATTTTAGACATAATGCTATTGCACATTTTATAATATAGTGAGCATAAGTTTTATATGTACCAGGGAACCAAAAAATTCATGTGACTCACTTTATTGTGATATTCATTTCATTGCTATGATCTCGAACCAAACCCACAATATCTCTGAAGTATGCCTGTATGTTAAAAGGTTCACAGTCATTCCTTTTAGGTAGGAGGATTATGTGTTTCAGTTTTTTTCTTGCTTGCTTTCAATAGTTAGCTATATTTTCCAAATTTACTACAGTGAGCATTCCTACAGTGACTACCTAGGCACAAATCCTGTATAAACCACTTACTAATTGTATGATCTTCAGCAAGTTATTCATCCTTTCTTTGTCTCAGTTCCTTTCAGCTTCTTCAACTGCAAAATGGGGGTTAGGATACTAATAATGGTACTTACTTCAAAGAATTTCTTTGAGGAATAAATGAATGAATTAATATAAAGGGCTTAGAACACTACTTATGACATTGAAGTGTTCCGTAAATTTTAGCTATTAATGTAATAAGTTGAATGACAGAGCAAATGAGAACCTGTGTTATATTTCCTATTAGTATTAGAAGTATAGTAATATTAATAGATAACATTTGCTGCACTGTTCCTATGGACCAGGCATTAAATTTAGTGTTTTATTTGCATCATCCCATGTGTTTCTTCCATCAACGCTATTAGGTACTATTAACCCCACTGAATAAATATAGAAATTAATAATTTAAATAGACAGTTCAATAACTTTCTCAAGGTCACAGAGGCAGTAAGTGGAAGAGCTAGGCCTGGAATGTATGTCTAACGAAAAGTCTGTATTCTTAACTAGTACATTTTGCTTGATGATGATGATGATGATGATGAGCATCAATAACAGGTTTTGAAAGAAGGTGGAGGAGGAGGTGAAGGATAAACAGGAGAAAAGGAAGGTCGAAAAGGAATAAGGGCAAAAAACCTGTTTTAGTAGCAGTTTTCTAGTAGTAATCTGTTGTGGTGGTAGTTTTTGTTCTTGCTGCTGTTGTTGCTATAGTTTGAATGAGAAGGCAACTTTACTTCATACTGAGGTCTGGGCAGATGTCCAGTCTCAGAACTTCTGAAATTGATTCTTGATGGTGGTGGCCTTGGTGACATTGAGCATGTTGAAGTGCACTATCTTCCTCAAGGGCTAGCACTTGTCCACCATGATGATGTTGCTGACCTGGATGTCCTTGAAACAGAGGGACAGGTGTGCAGACATGTTCTTGGGGTGCTTCTTGTAGGATTGTACTTGTGGATGTAGTGGAGATAGTCCTGGTGGATGACAATGGTGCTCTGCATTCTCATGTTGGCCACCATGACAGACAGGATACTGTTGGGGTGTTTTAATAAAAACAATAGCCATCAAGTATTGAGTCCCTATTGTCTACCAAACACTATGGTAGTTGTGATGGTTAATACTGAGTATCAACCTGATTGGATTGAAGGATACAAAATATTAATCCTGGGTGTGTCTGTGAGGATGTTGTCAAAGGAGATTAACATTTGAGTCAGTTGGGCTGGGAAAGGCAGACCCACCCTTAATCTGGGTGGGCACAATGTAATCAGCTGCCAGTGTGGCTAGAATATAAGCAGGCAGAAAAATGTGAAAAGAGAGACTGGACTAGTCTCCCAGCTTGCATCTTTCTCCCTTGCTGGATACTTCATGCCCTCGAACATCGGACTCCAAGTTCTTCAGTTTTGGAACTCAGACTGGCTTTCCTTGCTCCTCAGCCTGCAGATGGCCTATTGTGGGACCTTGTGATCATGTGAGTTAATACTTAATAAACTCCCCATATATAATCATCAGATCTCATGAGACTTAGTCACTATCATGAGAACAACACAGGAAAGACCTGCCCCCATGATTGTTTTTCGCCAGGTCCCTCCCACAACACATGGGAATCAAGATGAGCTTTGGGTGGGGACACAGCCAAACCATATTAGTAGTCTCTTTACTTAACATTGTCTTGTTTAATTTTCACAAGACCCCTATGAATTAGTATTATTACTTTCATTTTACAGATGAGAAAACTGAGGTACCAAGAGATTATTTAAACTGATCACAGGTAAAACGGCTCATAAGTAAGAGTCAGAAATATAAACCAAAATTGGTTTAAATCCATTGTCTGTGCTAATTCCACTGTGATATGCTGCCTTTGTGGACTGCTGATTTTGACCATGGCCAGGATGAAATTTCAGAGCCTGAATTCTCCAGAATGGAGACTAAAGAAGCAGCAAACTGGCCAGACACAGTGGCTCACGCCTGTAATCCCAGCACTTTGGGAGGCTGAGGCGGGTGGATCACGAGGTCAGGAGATCGAGACCATCCTGGCTAGCACGGTGAAACCCCGACTCTACTAAAAATACAAAAAATTAGCTGGGCATGGTGGCAGGTGCCTGTGGTCAGAGCTGCTCAGGAGGATGAGGCAGGAGAATGGCGTGAAACTGGGAGGCGGAGCTTGCAGTGAGCCAAGATCGCGCCACTGCACTCCAGCCTAGACGACAGAAAAAGACTCTGTCTCAAAAAAAAAAAAAAAGAGCAGCAAACTTTCTCAGAATCTTAAAGGGAAATTTAAACACATCTATGTAAAAGTGTGTATGTGTGCATGTGTATGTTTAAACTACATTATTTCTTATAGTAATCCAAGAAATACTATATTGTTAAACACTTCTTTTTTTAAAATCTCCTATTACATACATCAGACGACAATCTATTGGCAATCCCAGGTAAAACAGGATTGATGAATTGAGAAAAGGAGTCAAAATAATAACTCTATCTGTTTTGATGTCTCATGTTATTGCTGGAATGCAATTAATTTATGACTAGAGGCCTGAGACATTGCATCATATCCCATTTATCTGTGTGAAGTTTCAAAACAAGTGAGGAAAAAGTAACAATTTATTATGGATTTCTGAACACTGGAGTTTATAAAACAAAGCAAGAAATTCAAATAAAGGAATCTTATTCACTGCTGATAGGACAGTAAAATAGTATAAACTTTCTGGCATCAATTTAGATATATGTGTAAAGAGTCTTTAAAATGTTCATATCCCTTTGCCTATCATTTCCTCTCATAGGAATTTATCCTAAGGAAGCAAAATAAAATTTGGGTAACATTTCCTGCATCAAGATGTTCACTACATTGTTACTTATAACAACAACAAATGGAAAATAATCTTTATGACCAAGAATAAAGAGCTATTAATATTTTATAGCCATATTTATCAAACTTTTGATAACAGAAAATTGTCTGTGATAATATTTAGGTTCTTTAGAAGCAAAACATGAAAATGTATATACAGTACAAATTTAATTATGCTCCACGATAGAAAATAAATAAGTTTAGAAATAAATATGCCAAAAAAATTAACAGTATTTGCTTCCAGTTAGTAAAATTGTAATTTTTGTGTGTGTGGGGGGGTGCTTTTTCTCTGCTTCAAATAATTATATTTCCCAAATTTACTATATTGCACATTGACTATTTTTACAATAAAAATGGGAAAAATAACTTCAAAAAGATAAAAAAATACAAAAAAGAAATAGAGCTTAATCAATCCAAGCATATCATTTTATTTTCTCTTATTGGCTGAACTTTTAGCATATTTAAATAAGAAGATCTGCTTTCATATCACACAAGTGCTCTCAGCTGCATTAATACATTTCCACTAAGAATATTTAATATCAGTTTTTTAGAGAGAAAATCACCTTTCCATAAAGGAATCTGGACATTTAGTTTTCATTGATTCTTGCAAATGCACTATTGAGCAACTACTTTTACGGGTTAATATATCAGTCCTGGGATACAACACCATATGCTGCGAGCTTTTATTATTTCCTAGAAACATCAAGAAATACAACGCAAAAGCTAGACCTGTTTATACAATATATTTGATGCTGCAATTTTTAAAATTTATTTAATGGAGTCAGCCTGCAATGACTAATACATACATGTTTTTTTGCCTGCTAGTAGTACCAAGACCTAAATAACGTTCTTGACTAGATTACACTTATGCAGGTCTCATTTTAACGGAAATTTGAGAGATGAAAAAAAGATTATAGAAAGAGATGCTATAAAAACAGACCTCACAAGTCAAACTTCATAGTAAAACTATTTTCTTTAACGTAGACTACCATGAAAACAAACATCCTGTGAGCTAGAGATATATATTGTATCTTTCCTGCAGATCTTTATGCCTTCTTGCGACAGATTTCCATAATGTGATTACAGTTGATGAGGCAATGGCCCACAGAAAGAGGCTGATAAAAGCATCAGGCTCCAGGAAACCAGATAAACATGTTCATGATTTCTAATTGGAACAAGGATAGGATAGCACTCTATATGCAGACAGAACCCAGAGACAGGGAAAATATTGGTCCCTTCAACTTTAATAAATATGCATCCACAAAACAGACCCAACTCTCTTGTAAGAGTAACCCTTTAAAAAACATTCATGTTACTTGCACAGTTAATTGATAGATAAGATTGCAAAAGAGGCTGTATAGCTTCGACATGTAATAAGTAAGTTATAACACTCTGGCAGAGACATTTTGAACAACAAAAAGAACATCCTCGTAAACAAACTAGAAGAGCAAAGAACATTGTGTGAGAAACTTGTCCAAAAGGCTATCTCAAGTAGTTTAACTGAAGGAACACATTTTTCCTAACTCTCTTATCATCTCACCCCTCTACCCCTCCTTGTATAAGCTGTATAAAGATAATCTTTATAGACACTTAAGTGAAAGAAAAACTGGGCCAGGAATTTAATGTGACCCAAAGTTAAAGAAACAGTATAATTTCAGAGCTTCTGCTAAATCTCTATTTAGCAAAGAACACAATGAGGATAGATGATTCTCTTGTTTGAAAAGTAATTGGCCCCACTTCTTAGGAGTTAGTGGGTTCCTGGATCCAGCAGGCAAGCTGAGGGATGTGCTATGAAAAAAAAAGAGGAAAAGAATAATTCCCTTTATGAATTTAGAAATCATGGCAGATTATACTGCTTCTAAGAAAATGTTTTCCTTCCTTCATATGAATTGACTACACTGCTTCAGAATTATTGTTTGTTTTCCAGAGGTATGTGTTTGTGACAACCATAAGTTGCTGATATGAGACAGGAACATTAACAAAAGAATGAAAGAGGTAATGAAGAAAATCTCATAGGGGTCCCAAATTTGAAGTGAAAGACTCAGTCTAGTACATGTGACTAAAGCCGCCTATCGTGGATTATATTCTCTAGATTCAGTAACACAGACTTTGGAAAATATACTTTAAGGATTATTGATTGTCTTAGTGGAACAAGTAGGACAATCCTAGAATCAGGTGAACCCCTGTAGGTAAAGAGAGGGTTTTCCTAAGATCAGGGGAAAGAGAATGCCTACTGTTACTGTGAAAAACTGAAAAGGGAACTCTGCCATAGGAGAGTAAATAAAACCAAAAAGCAAAGCTAGGAACTAAAGTTTGTCCTTAAGAGGCTCTCTGTGTGTGGTGTAACTTTTTCTCCCTTGTCCTAAAATTCTGAGACAAGTCAGATTTAGCAAATAATGTTCAGGACTCTTCCCTAGATTTGATTCCTTCCTGTTGGCCCCTAAACTTTAGTAAATATTGCATACACTCAGTCTTGTGTCCATGGTGTTGTACAAAATTAAAGTATCAAAGCAAAGTGGCTGTATTTGCACCCCCTTTTTGCTGAAGCTAGCATGCCAGGAATAATATTGTATAGAAGAAGGCTCAGAGTCCCTAAATTCAAGACACTGGCCACTGTCTGACACACAAGTCAAGTTGCAGTTGAGATAAAATGATGAGAAGCAAGCAATCAAGGGATAGAGCAAGCAGAATAGATTGACTCAGGAGAAGCTAAACTCCCTAGGAGAAGCTAAACTCCCTACTTTTTCCCAAATATACTAGCAAAAGACAACATAAAGTAAGAAGGTAGATGTTGGATTGCAGGACTATGCTTTCATCTGCTTAAAACAATCATAATCTCACTATGTGTACAAAGCTTGTACAGAGTCTTCCATGATCAGTTGTCTCAATATAACGGAATAGTAACTGATATCTTACGATTTGAGTTTTATTAATGTTTATTCAAGCATACGTTTTTAGTTCCCTTTATTTTCATCAATACTGTCTCTCATGAAAAATAGGATTCGAAAGTATTATAAAAACGTGCACTATTAAAAAAATGTAGCTGAAGAAATTATGGTTAAAAGCAGATTAATACGTTCAAAATACAAGTTGAGAATCCCTCATCTGGAAATCGAAAATCTAAAATGCTCCAAAATCCAAAACTTTTTGAGCACTGAAATGATGCCACAAATGGAAAATAATAGTTTTTCATGGACAAAATTATTCAAAGTATTGTATAAAATTACTTCCAGGCTATGTATACAAGATGTATATGAAATATAAATGAATTTCATGTTCAGACTTGGGTACCCTCCCCAACATATTTCAGTATGTATTATATATGCAAATATTTCAAAATCTGAAAAAAAAACTGAAACACTTCTGGTCCCACGCGTTTAAGATAAGCTATACTCAACTTGTAAAAGCAAAGTCAGTACACAGAAGCACAAGCAAAAATATTTTCCAGAATCACTAGAGAGGGCTGTAAATATGGTTCCGAGTTTCCCAGCAGCCAAAGCAAAGGGAAAATAGGATCAGTTACAAGAATCATATTGTCTTAAAGATATAAACACTCTGTTGTACAGAAGAAAAGCTTCTCTTTTGAAACTGAGACTTGTGAGAAATGTTTCTCACAGATCTTTATAAAGAAGAGACAATAGAGAACAATACCCTTTGTAAACATAATAGCAAGTCTCTTCCAGTGTTTCCTTATAGTGTCCCTCAAGGAATCCTAACATATCATGCTAATGCTTCAATCAGTAAGGAACACTTTATTCTCAGATGAAATATTTGTATTATTTAATAACCATCAGATAACAAAAGTCAACATATTGTATCTATTTCTCTGCATCTCTTGAACCAAAACTGTATCATTGCTGTGGATAAACAAGAATATATTCTTAATATAGTCATTATTTTGATATTTCTAAAAGAAGACAAAAGCATATTATTCTTACCAAAACCACTCTGAAGGTATCCACTATTTCCCTCACCTGTGATTCTTTCACATTTTCAACAGTAAAGTTGAACCAGACTCGGAAGCGTGGATTACAGGTGTCCGGCCTAATGAACAGATCATACTCAAACTCAGAGACCTGGTCCACCCGGCCCAGGTTACCTGGTAATAAAAATTAAGAGAATTGGATTTTAATAGAAGTTCATGCAGCTCAATGGTACACACATTTAAATATTATGCTCTCTGATAGTGGCATTTGTCAACATTCAGTACTTGAAGGTTCAGTGTTCACAATCCAAAGGGCTGCCAAGTCTGAATGCAGCCCAGAGTAAGAAAAGCTTTCATCTAGGCCAGGCTGTGGTGCAAGCTTCTCTGCCTGGCCCTTCTGACCCAGATCCTTTTATGCTACAAGTATCTTTGACAGACCAGGATATTATATAAAGCCTGTGGTAAGCCCCTATAAACCAAGAGAAGAATGGCAAACTTTGGTTTCTTACATAGAAAAGTGAGGATGATAATACCTTATGTATTTTGTATTAAGCTTCATTGTATACAAACTACCTGTAATACATTGGATCTTGTTTAATTTTTACAACAGGCATATATGGTTTGTACTGAGCTTCTTATATCCTAAACTTCTATCAGAATATGTTAAAGAATATGTACAGTAAGGTTTTAAACAAAAATTAGAAGTAATTGCTACATAAGAATAACACAATCATGAAACCTAATTTCCATTTTCTCCAACAACAGAACTAACAGTTATATAAAAAATGTGTAAACTTAGGTGTTATCTCCATTTTCCATATTGTCTCTCCTTTTTCTCACTGATATTCTAATGAGCAGTGAATTGTTAGAGAGGCAAGATATTTGTTACACAATGGTACTGAATTTGGAGTCAGAAGAACTAGTTTAGTTTTAGTTCTGGAACTAACTAAGCAACTTTAGACAATTCACTTAACCTCTTCCAACATCTGTTTCCTCAACTATAAAGTTAGAATCATATTAATAGAAACATGAAAATTTATTTCTATGCCAACTACTACGAACACTAGTTGAAATTAACGTACACAATGTATATGAATATTAAGTTTTGATAGAAAATTAAAGTTTTCTGAGCATTTCTACAGGCCACATACTGTCCTAAATGCTAAATGAACTAAACTATTTGATCCTCTCAACAACTCCTATGAGGTAGAGACCATTACTATCCCCATTTTACATCTGAGAAAACCAAGGTACAGAGAACTTACCCAAAGTTATACAGCAAGTAAACAAGTAAAAGTCACATTTGGGATTTGAATTCAAGGAACCTGGCTCTAACCACTAGACAATATAGCTGTCTACCTAACAGAGCTGGTAGGAATAATAAACAAATAACATAAATTGAAAGCACATTTTAAGTGGTAAGGCTTAATAAAATTACTATTCTTAAAATAACAAGAAGTTGAAAAGGTACTTTTTTCCCTCTAAAAGTTCATGATATAAAAATTAAATATTAATATTCACTTCAATATTCAAAGAAATGCAGATTTTCATTTTGTTCTTCATACTAAAAAAGTATAAATGGGTTTTGATAAACAATATCTTAAAATTACTGTGGCATATAGTGTCCAATAATAATCCACCATATGTGTCTACAAATTTGTAGTTTCAAAATGATTTGACATCTTTTATATTATTAAATCCTCACCATGACCCAGTGATAGGTAAATTGAAACCCAGAAATGTTTAGTGCTTGCTTAAGTTCATGTTTTAAAGCACCAGGGTGAGACCATAAATTAAACACTTCTGATTTCATTGTGTTTTTCTTTCAGAATCTACCATAGCTACAACCAATTCATTTATTAAGCCATTTAATCAGTAATTCATTCAAAAGGCACTATGCTTTGTGTTATAAAAGAAACTAGATAGTATCAAACATATACTTTCTTTGTGCTCACTAAGCTTATAGTCTGAAAGAATAGTGAACATCTGGTCTTTGGCCTTCTGCAACTACTCTGTTGACCTTCTTCATCATTCTTGTGATGAGCATTCTCTGTATGTGTGTGTGTGTACATAAAAAATACTTTCCTTATACACAATTAAGTGCCAGTTTATGGCCTTCTGGAAATAACTATTTCAGAATAAGTTAATAATGCCTCCATATCACCTGGTTCTCTTTCATTAAATGAAACACAAGGAAAGAAAACAAACACAATCTAAAATACATAGGTAGGACAAATATAACACAGAACATAAGCTGTAGATTTTATACCCAAATATATCACTAAATGTGTTATATGTAAATGGATTAAAATTATAATTAAGACAAACTGGATGAACCTGGAGTACATTATGCTAAGTTAAATAAGCCAGACGCAAAAAGAAAAATATTGCATGACTTGACTTATATGTAGAATCTGAAAGAAAAAAAGCCAAACACACAGAAACAGAAAATAAAATGGTGGTTACCAGGGGCAGATGGTGGTGGACAAAATGAGATATGTAGGTCAAAGAGTAGAAAATCACAGTTATGTATGATGACTAAACCTAGAGATCATGTACAGCATGAGGATTATAGTTAATAATATTATATATCATACTGGAAATGTGCTTAGAAAGTAGATTGTAGTTGCTTTTACCATGCATACATATACCAAAAAAGTTAACTATATGAGATAATGAATATGCTAATTTGCTTGACTTTGGTAGTCATTGCATTATGTATATCAAAACATAATGTTCTACATCTTATATATATAAAATAAAATAATTTTTTAAATACAAGACAAAATTTTATTTTGGATATAATATCAACTATATGTTGCTTATAAATGCAAGCTTTCCTTTTAGGAGCACAAAAAGATTGAAAATAAAATGACAAAAAGTTTTAACAGAAAAGCACTATTAATAAGAAAGCAAATGTAACTATACTTATATCAGACAACATAGACTATAAATCAAGTAACATTACTAGAAATGAATAGGGGTATTTCATTTTGAAAAAGGGTAATTCCACCAAGAACATATAAAAACATTAAATAGATAGATAGATAGATAGATAGATAGATAGATAGATAGATAGACAGATAGATCTTTAAAGTATGTAAGTAAAATTTGACAAAATTAAAACATAGATTAATCTAGAATCAAAATGAGAAATTTAACACACCAATATCCCTTACTGTAAAAAATACCAAAAGAAATATTCAGCAAAGGATTGAGATAATTTGAAAACATGATTTTAAAAATACCTAGTTTTAATTATGAAACACATTACATTTATAGAACTAAATAATATACATTCTTTTCAAATGTACATGATGTTCTTCTCAAAACTGATCATATGCTCGTCCATAAAGCAAGTCCCAACTAATTTCAAAGGAGTGATATCATACTGCATGTGTTCTCTCATTTAAGTAATAATATTTTAAACTAAATTGTGTTCAATATGTGAGAATCAAAATGTGTAAAATATAGCTAAATCCACTCTAAGATGTAAATTTATAACCATACATGCACATACATATACATATATAGTTACAGATGATTAATTTTTCAATGATTTACACATGTGGATAAAGATCAATGATCCATGCTTCTGTTTTAAAGAGGTAAAAAAAGATGGTATTTTCAAAACAAAAAGCAGAGGCAAGCAAAAAGAACAGAAAATGTTAAAAAAAATTATCTGAATGTACCCTAAAAATTTTAAATGTGAAAGTTTGATACTTTGAAATAGACTTTTAATATTAAAAAACTCTTAACAAAGCTCACCAAGAAGAAATAAACCACATATTATTAATATCAAAATAATAAAAAGAGATTGAATTCATCAGGATGGTAAAATAGGTGGTTTTAGCTCTAATATCCCCAGATAAATACTGGTTTAATAACCATTCATGGTGGTGCCTGTAATCCCAGGTACATGGGAGGCTTAGGCAGCAGAATCACTTGCACCTAGGAGGTGGAGGATGTAGTAAGCCAAGATGGCGCCACTGCACTCCAGCCTGGGTAACAGAGTGAGACTCTGTCTCAAAAAAAAAAAATGTAATGTATACACATTAAGATTTGCTAAGAGAGTAGATCTTATGTTAAGTATTTTTATCACAAAAATAGTAATAATATATAAAGAAAGCAGAAGGAAACTTTTGGAGGTAATGGATATATTTATGGATAAGCCTGTGGTAATGGTTTCACAGATGTATAGTTATATAGTTATCTCCAAACTCATCAAATTGTATACAACAAATATGTGCAGCTTTTTGTGTGTCAATCATACCTCAAAAAAAGTGATTTAAAGAAAAAATAATACTTGGGGGAAAAGGAAAAAAGAGCAAAATAAACCCAAAGAAAGCAGAATAAAGATAATAATAAAGACAAGAGTAGAAATAAATGACATAGAGAATAGAAAACATTACTGAAAGCCAATAAACACAAAATTCTTCCTTTGAAGTGATCAACAAAAGTGACAACTTTAAATTGATTGGCTAACAAAAAAGAGAAAGGACTCTAATTTGTAAAATCAGAAATTAAACAGAGGACATACTATAACCAACTGTACGTCAAAAAATTAAATAACCTAAATGAAATGGCATTTGTCGTTTTAACAGAAAAGCACTATCAATAAGAAGCAAATGTAACTATACTTATATCAGACAACATAGACTATAAATCAAGTAACATTACTAGAAATGAATAGCGGTATTTCATGATGAAAAAGGGTAATTCCACCAAGAACATATAAAAACATTAAATAGATAGATAAAGTATGTTGTCTGGAAAGACAACAAACAAAGTTGACTAAAAATAAATATGGATATCTGAATAGATCTAAAACAAGTAGTATTAAATTAATAATCAAAAAACTTCCCACCAGGAAAATTCTATGTCCAAATGTTTTCACAGATAAATTCTGTAAAATTAAAACTTGTTAAAAAATTAACACCAATTCTTGACTGGGTGTGGTGGCTCACACCTGTAATCCCAGCACTTTGGGAGGCCAAGGCAGGCAGATTACAAGGTCAAGAGATGGAGACCATCCTGGCCAACATGGTGAAAACTCGTCTCTACTAAAAATACAAAAATTAGCTGGGCATAGTGGTGCATGCCTGTAGTCCCAGCTACTCGGGAGGCTGAGGAAGGAGAATCACTTGATCCCGGGAGGCAGAGGTTGCAGTGAGCCAAGATCGTGCCACTGCACTCCAGCCTAGTGATAGAGCGAGGCTCCGTCCCAAAAAAATAAAATAAAATAACACCAATTCTTCACAAACTCTTGCCAAAAAAAATTGAAGAAAAGATAACACTTTCAAACTCATTCTATGAAACCAGGATTACCTGGATCCTAAAATCAGATGGAGAGATCATGATGACAAAAACAAAAACAATAACAAATAAAAAATACAGAACAACATCCCTATAAATATAAACTCAAAAATCTTCAAAGAAATACTAACAAACTGAATCTAGCAACATAAAAAATGATTATACACCATGACAGGTGAGATTTATCCCAGAAATTCAAAGTTGGTACAACACACGAAAATCAACTAATGCAATATAACACATTATTAAAATAAAGACCAAAAACACAAGGATCATCTAATAGATGCATAAAAAAAATCTGACAAAATCTTACACATTTCATGATAAGAATACTCAAGATGAACACAAGGGACCTTCCTCAAACTCATAAAGAGTATATTTGAAAAACACACAGCTAACAGCCCACTTAATGGTGAAAGACTGAACATTATCCCTCTAAGATCAGGGAGAAGATAAGCATCTTTGCTTTTGCCATTTCTATTCAAAATTGTTGTGGAGATTCCAGGAAGGACAAGTATGCCAGAAAAAAAAGCATTCATATTGAAAAGGAAGAAATAAAATTATTTCTATTTGCAGATGACATAATTTTTATGCAGAAAAACCTAAGGAATCCACATACCAAAAAAAAAAAACTATTTGAGCTAAAAAACAATTTCAGTAAAGTTTCAGAATAAAATCCATATACAAAATCAATTGTATCTCTATATGCCAGCAATGAACATTCTTAAAATAAAATAATTCCATTTACAATAGCATCAAAATAATACTTAGTATAAGTTAACAAAAGAAATGCCAATAGATTTAATCCAAGAAGGCAAGTTTCTTTTAACACTTAAAAAGCAAGCAACATAATTCACCATATGGACAAAATAAAGGAGAATAACCTTAAGATTATTTCAGTAGATGCTGAAAAAACATTTGACAAATTCCACACGCATTCATGATTAAAAAAAAAAAACACTTCCATCAAACTTCAACTAGTAGGAAACTTCCTGATACTGACAAAGGGCATGAAATGAAAACAAAAATGTAGCACTAATATCATACTTAATGGTACAATATTTAATTATTTATCCGAGATCAAGCATGTAGGGTGTCCTTCTATTCAACATTTTTATAAAGACCCAAGCTATTGCAATACAGCAAGAAAAACAAATAAAAGACATAAAGATTAGGAAAGAGGAAATAATACTAGAACTTTCCTTACTTACAGATGAGAGTGTTATTTACATAGATTTTTCTATGTAAAGAATAGAAAATTGACAACATAACTACTTGAGCCAATAAATAAATTTAGCAAAGTCACGAAGTGAATATATGAAAATAACTGCAGTAGCAACAAGCAATGGCACTACCAGCAAAAAATTAAAAATAAAATTTTAAGGATCCCATCCATGGTTGAAACAAAAAACCACAAGATACCTAGAAATAAATCTAACCAAAGATATCCAAGTCTTTTGCACTAAAAACTACAAAATATTATCGAGAGAATTTGAAGAATACCTTAAAATGGTATTTCTCCCCAATGTATGTATACAGATTCAGAGGAACCACAATCAAATTCTGGAAGCCTTTTTGTAGAAATTGATTATCTCATTCTACATTGTACGCAAAAATGTAATATAATATCATAAAAGCAATTTTAGTGAAAACTGTTATAAATTTAGTAATCAAGACAGTTTGGTATTTCAAAATGATAGACCTTTACATGTATGAAACAGAATGGAGAGTACAGAAATAGGCCCACATATTTATGAGCAATTTACTTTAACAAAGATGACAAGGAAATTTAATAAAGAGGTAAGTATTTTAATGAGTAATGTTCAATATAAATAATTAACCCTTACTGAAAATCTTATACAAAAATTACCTCAAAATGGATCATAGACACAAATATAAAACCCAAAATTATAACATGTGTAGAAGAAAATATAAAAGAATGATACTGCCTAGGTTTTCTTCTAGGGTTTTTATTGTTCTAGGTCTTACCTTTAAATTTTTAATACATCTTGAGCTAATTTTTGTATAAGGTGTAAAAAAGGGGTACAGTTTCAGTTTTCTGCATATGGCTAGCCAGTTTTCCCAACACCATTTATTAAATAGGGAATCCTTTCCCCATTGCTTGTTTTTGTCAGGTTTGTCAAAGATCAGATGGTTGTAGATGTGTGGTGTTATTTCTGAGGCCTCTGTTCTGTTCCATTGGTCTATATATCTGTGTTGGTACCAGTACCATGCTGTTGGGGTTACTGTAGCTTTGTAGCATAATTTGAAGTCAGGTACTGTGATGCCTCCAGCTTTGTTCTTTTGCTTAGGATTGTTTTGAATATACAGGATCTTTCTTGGTTCCATAAGAAATTTAAAGTAGTTTTCTAATTCTGTGAAGAATGTCAATGGTAACTTGATGGGAATAGCACTGTATCTATAAATTACTTTGGGCAGTATGGCCATTTTCACAATATTGATTCTTCCTATCTATGAGCATGGAATGTTTTTCCACTCGTTTGTGTCCTCTCTTATTTCCTTGAGCAGTGGTTTGTAGTTCTACTTAAAGAGGTCCTTCACATCCCTTGTAAGTTGTATTCCTAGGTATTTTATTCTCTTTTTAACAACTGTGAATAGTAGTTAACTCATGATTTGGCTTTCTGTTTGTCTGTTGTTGGTGTGTAGGAATGCCTGTGAGTTTTGCACATTGATTTTGTATCCTGTGACTTTGCTGAAGTTATCAGGTTAAGAATATTTTGAGCTGAGATGAGGGGATTTTCTAAATATAC